>NC_000005.10:94049200-94352231 GCF_000001405.40 Homo sapiens
CCTAAATGGCAAATGACATTTTCAAAGGTTCCTACAAGCAGTACCATGTGAAGTACCTAATGTTCACAAGGCCTACTCCTTTATCCAGTCAAAGACAAGTAGGTTAAATTCAACTTATTAGCCAAATATCAATATTCTTCACACAAATAAACACCTGAAAGAAAACTTATTCATTCTGGCATAGTAGGGGATTCAACCTCTTAAAAACATTTTTAGGCTCGGCGCAGTGGCTCACACCTGTAATCCCAGTACTCTGGGAGGCCGAGGCAGGCGGATGACTTGAGGTCAGGAGTTCAAGACCAGCCTGGCCAACATGGTGAAACCCCATCTCTACTAAAAGTACAAAAAAAAATTAGGTGAAACCCCATCTCTACTAAAAGTACAAAAAAAAATTAGGTGAAACCCCATCTCTACTAAAAGTACAAAAAAAAATTAGGTGAAACCCCATCTCTACTAAAAGTACAAAAAAAAATTAGGTGGGCATGGTGGTGCACGCCTGTAGTCCCAGCTACTCAGAGACTGAGGCACGAGAATCGCTTGAACCAGGCAGGTGCAAGTTGCAGTGAGCCAAGATCGTGACACTGCACTCCAGCCTGAGTAACAGAGCGAGACCCTGTCTCAAAAACAAAACAAAATTTAAAAAATCAAATTAGAATTTCGCATAAATTTGTTTTCTTATGTAATGACTCACTACAAAATATTATAGTCATGGGAAGTATAAGTTTGTGTAAAAACAGAAGTTTTTTCTTTTTTTTTTGAGATAGGGTCTAACTCTGTCAGCAAGGCTGGAGTGCAACGGTGTGATCACAGCTCCCTGCAGCCTTGACTTCCTGGGCTCAAGTGATCCTGCCACCTCAGCCTCCCAAGTAACTAGGACTATAGGCACACACCACTATTTCTGGCTAATTTTTTTATTTTTTGTAGAGACATGGTCTTGCTATATTGTCCAGGCTAGTCTCAAACTCCTGGCTTCAAGTGATTCTCCTGCCTTGACCTCCCAAAGTGTTGGGATTATAGGTGTGAGCCACCACAGCTCACCTAAAAACAGAAACTTTTTTTTTTTTTTTTTTTTGAGACGGAGTCTTGCTCTGTCACCCAGGCTGGAGTGCAATGGTGCCACCTCAGCTCACTGCAACCTCCGCCTCCCAGGTTCAAGCGATTCTCCTGCCTCAGCCTTCCAAGTAGCTGGGACTACACGCGCATGCAACCACACCCAGCTACTTTTTGTATTTTTAGTGGAGACAGGGTTTCACCATGTTAGCCAGGCTGGTCTGGATCTCTTGACCTCGTGATCCACCTGCCTCGGCCTCCCAGAGTGCTGTAATTACAGGCGTGAGCCACTGAACAGGAACTTTTAAACTGAGAATATGCTTCTAACATAACCACTAAAAAGGAACAAAAAAAAAAAACAAAAACCTTTTTGGAATCACATTTTGTAGAAAGAGTGCATAAACTGCTGCATCTTCAAAACTTTTATTCTGAATATTTAAAATTGGGAAAAACAAAGTTAAAGTAGTATATGTGACATACCTCTCCTAGAGCCTCGTATCTTTTCTGGTTCCATCTGTGTAAATCTTCCCGGTAGTTAAAAACAAATGGTTCCCCAGTTTTTATGTGTCTTAACTGTCCCTCTAAGAAGATAAACAAACAATATTGCTATACTTCAAAGTATATTGACAATAATATAAACAGTACAACAAAGAATGTCTGATAAAAATTTAAAATAACTTTCTCAGAACAGTTTATCTTTTTCATTAGATTTTTTTCTTCAGATGTCACTATGATGCAAACATACAGATTATGTAACTACTAATGGTCCCCAACTACTCAAAAGTTATTCTTCTTGACCTTCATGTCTCTAATCTAAAGCAAACTAACAATATTTTAAGGCCTAATATGTATAAAGACCTCTCTAGCTATTGCCATGAACATGGGCCCAGTCCTCAAGAAGCTTAGAGGTTACCTGAGGAGTAAAAGCATAAATATTAAGAAGTTAAGCAACTTTTCAGGAAGCTAAACAATCGAGATTGAAATATGTCAACAGTCTAAAAATCTGCCACTGGGGATTCATATAGACAATAAAGTCTAGAATGATTTTGGAAACATGAAAACTATCTGTGGGCTAGAAGAGGTTTAGAAGGTTTCAGTGAGATTTCTCAACTAGGTCTTCAAATACAGGTAGAATGTCAAATGAAAACCAGAGAGAAGCAGTGAGCTAACACAGGTTCAGGCTATCAAATCACATTCACACAAAGCAAAGATCTTTACGGATAATGACTAAGCTTTACTAATAATTTCAAGGGCACAAGGAATCAAGAAGAATAGGCAAGGCAGGGAGAAGTCTGCAGCATCTGGTCATTTCCCCCAGGTCCTTTCCTCTCATTGGATAGCACTCTCTGGCCCAAAGTAGATGAGGACTCTACGTGATGCATACAGGTAACCTCACACGCTGGTGAGCATTTGGGTTATAAAATATTTCCATTTTACGTGCCAAAGAGTTGTCCTGCTTATGTGATATTCTGCAGAGAAACATTCCTCATATCTAAACCAGTCATCCTGCTCAAAGTATTCTATAGAAAAGGACTCTCCTCAGAGCAAATATTAATCTACATTTATTTTTATTTATTTATTTATTTTTAGATGGAGTCTCGCTCTGTCACCCAGGCTGGAGAGTACAGTGGCCCAATCTCAGCTCACTGCAACCTCTGCCTCCCAGGTTCAAGAGATTCTCATGCCTCAGCCAACAGTAGCTGGGACCACAGGCGCATGCCACCACGCCTGGCTGAATTTTGTATTTTTTAGTAGAGATGAGGTTTCACTATGCTGTCCAGGCTGGTCTTGAACTCCTGACCACAAGTGATCCACCCGCCTCTGCCTCCCAAAGTGATGGGATTGCAGACATGAGCCACCACACCTGGCCAGTCTAATTTATTAAATGAGTTAATTATCAGCATGTTTATAAGGAGAAAAGACGAAGCCACTTGTCTCCTGGACATGACTTTTTCCCCAGGGGTATTCCCGGGGTAATCAGGAGAGAAATACACTACAGGCCAATTGCTTAAACTCCTCTTCCCCTCCACGCAACAAATATTACTACTTCTACTGGTATAAAATAACTTTTATTAAAAAGTATAAAAATTAATATCAGAGAAAAGATCAAAGTTTCTAGTCTCTTATTTTAAACTCAACATCTTAGTACACGATGACTGTCACCATAACTCTTAATATCTATAACTGATATTGGAAAGGAATATCCACAAATACAGTGATGACAAAGCACCAATTCGGTTAATGCAGAACAACCAATAGAAAACTACAACTCAGATGCACCTACCCTGTAATAATATTACCCTTCAAGTGTAAGGGTGTATTACACATGATTCTCTGTTCCAGAAACATCCTTGCAATCTACAGTATGTTCCTCCACATCCCAAGTGTAAAGGTTATTGTATTCAGAACTGAATTAATAAATTTTAAAACAAGGATGTTGCCTGAAAAATCATGGAAAACTACTTTAAAACATTGTCACAGATAATTATTGCCAGACACTTTATTCTAAATAACATGTGAAACAGTAGCATCTTTCTCTATAATTTAATTAGGAGTTCAAATTGGATACCAGGGAGTTGAACGCTCAAGGTTGAAATGCATAAGCTGAATCAAATTCATGACCATTAGTTCACGTAACTTGACAACTACAGAAAATTGTTACTTGTTACTTGGTTCTTTCACTTGAATGAAGAATTTCACCATGCAAGGATGTCACTATTTCTCAAAAGAATACAGAAAACATTCTACTTGGCCTTTAAAAGTAGCAAATAATATCTGTCTTATTATTCTATGAGCACTGATAAATAAATTTTGCATATACTATAGATAGATAGATAGATAGATAGATAGATAGATAGATAGATAACCCACTTACTTTCATTAAAAGCATATTCAAATCCTTCCAGGGTATCAGGAAAATCAAGAGGCGGTTCATCTTTTTTCATTAGTTCATCCAAATCTATCCTAGATAATAAATCTAGAAAAGAAATGATATGAAATTTACTTATATTCATTTTCATAGTTTGTAACAAAGATTTTAATTTAATTTAATTTAAAGTATTCTTTGTTCTATTAATTTTTATGTGTTGCTTTAACTGATAATGCTACTAAATTGAATTCCCAAAATACTATATTATGATCAAGCACAGTATTAACATAAGCACCTTGAAAATCATAATTCTAAAAACAACTACAACTCAGATTCTATACACCATTATATTTAACTTCTTCCCTTCAAAATAGACAGCTATTAATTTGTACCTTATTAACCTCATTTAAAAGTTTCAGACATTAATATGACTTTTCAAAAGTCATCAAATCTTATATATAACTGAAACATTTACGAATAAAGAAACTTATAAATGTAAATAGTATTAATATAGCATATTATTCCATTTTTAGGGGGAAAACTGTTAAAATAAAACACGCTAACTAGCAAAAATTATTTCACATAGTTTCTGTTCTTCACATCATTTGAATCCATGCAACCAAAAAAACTCTGTCAAGGAGTTTTTCTTTTTCTTTTTTCTTTTTGAGATGAGGTCTCACTCCGTCACCTAGGCTGGAGTGCAGTGGCACAATCTTGGCTCACTCTCCAACCTCTGCCTCCCAGGCTCAAGTGATCCTCCCACCTCAGCCTTCCGAGTAGCTGGGACTACAGGCGGGTGCCCCCATGCCAGGTTATATTTTGTATTTTTCACAGAGATGGGGTTTCACCATGTTGCCCAGGCTGGTCTCAAACTCCCGAACTCAAGTGATCTGCCCACCTCAGCCTCCCAAAGTGCTGGGATTACAGGCTTAGCCGCCATGCCTCGCTGAGTTTTGGAGTAATTTTAGATTGATGGAAAAGTTGAAAGACAGTACGAAGAGTGTGTTATACCCTTTACTCACTTTCCCCTATTAGTAACATTTTATAACATCATGTCACATTTGTCAAAATGAAGACACCAATATTGGTACATTACTACAAACTAAAGCCCAGGCATTATTCATATTTCACAAGTTGTTCCATTAGTGTTCATTTTCTTTTCCAGGATTCCATTCAGGACACCACATTACATGTAATTATTATCTCTCCCCAGTCTCTGTGGTCTGTGATAATTCTCAATCTTCCCTTCTTTTCCATGATCTTGACAGTTTTGAGGACTGTGTCAGGTATTTTATAGAATGACCCTCAATTTGGGTTCGTCTAATGTTTCTGCTTATGATTAGACTAGGGTTATGATTTCTGGAAAGAATATCACTGAGGTCAACTGCCATTCTCAACAGATCATGGCAAGGGGAACATGGTATCAACAGGACATCACCAGTGATGCTAGCCTTCATTACCTGGTTAAGGTACTATATGCCAGGCCTCTCCACTATAACGTTACTGTTTTTTTCCTCTTCATAATCTATTCTTTCGAGGTGACTATGTCTGGCCCACCCTCAGGGAAAAAGAGGAGGAATTATTCTCTACCTCCCATAGCAAAGAACACCTAAATATATTATTGGAATTATTCTGTATGGAATATTCATCTCTCTTCATCCATTTACACATTTACTCAATCACTTATTTATATCAGTATGGACTTGTGGACACTTATTGTATACTTTAGGTTATAATCCAATACTACATCATTCATTTTGCTCCTCAAATTGTTCCAGCCATGACTATTGTAAGCTCCTTTTTAGATGTCTCCTGTGTCCCTTTGACATGCTCTTACCTTTTTGCTTTTCATGCACTTCCTTACTTTCTACTACTAAAAGATGCTCCAGCCTCATCTTGTATCTTTCCTGTACCAGCCCTAGAATCAGTCTGTCAACAAGCATTTAATATCTTTTAGGTTCATATTGTAGGATGAGGCAAAAGTTCTCACTATCTGTCATCACAGAGTCATTTAAAAATGACACAAAAAATTTAAAACTTCAAATTTACTCATTTCCAAACAGATGTGGAATCATTTTTGTCTCATCAATAAATAAAGGTTAGTTAGGTTTTGAGCCTCTTCATTCTAACTCAAGTTCCTGAAGACAAACACTCTTAGAATATGTTGTGAGGCAAACCAGTCCCTTTCCTACAAAAGAAATATCTCAGAAATAACACTTTATTTCCGTCTCTCACAGAAATATAACAAATCTTTCTGTATAGAACATCATCAAAATATGCTAGAGAAAAAAGTATTTTGTCTACCTTCAGTCACTAGCCTCTCTCTGTAGAACACAAAAACAAGCCATCAAATGCTTCATTAAAAGAACCACTGTTTAGCACTCTTCTAACTCTTATATCAAATTCAACTCACATAAAAATATACTATCCCCAATATAAAAAAAAAGTTTGTACACTCTAGTAAGACAAAAATGTCACATATACTGGGTTTAAAAAGGGACATATGTTGACAATTCTTCATTCATTAGTAAAGTTCTTACCACCTTGTAAATCTTTTCAAAATAAAGACAGAAGGGTTTTAATATCAAAAATTGACTTGCAGTAGCCAGAATGTTCTCATTTTCCTTCTTCCAATGAATTGAGGCTCTGGGACAAAATCAGATTCCTTGACTTCGCAGTCATCTACAATTCAAAACTTACAAACCTTTTAATCAGACATCGAAACTGTCCATACATAAGCAGATCTTGCTTCTAACAGCTCTTTTCTGTATCTGTTAGCCTAGACCATAAATGCAGCCTTACATCTATATATCACTTTAAAGATTTCAAAGCACTTTCATATACATTACTTCATTTGATCATCACAATCCTATGAAATAGTAACAAGTATTATCATATTCACTGTCTTTCAGACAAGAAAATGAACTCAGGTAAAATGGCTTGTCCAAAATCACAGCTTAGTAGTAGATGGGATTAATAAAATAAGCATATCCCTAAAAGCCAAAGTCAGCACTCTTTCAAAAATCACCATACTGATTCTATATGCTATATCAACCTTATAATACTCTAGCCCTCCTTTTCTCTGATTATATAGAATAAACAGTTATGAATACAAAAATGTGCTTTGGCTTTGCTCAAAATGTTCCTTTGAATGATAAAACGAACAACTAAATAAAAAGACATTCCTCAAATTTTTCCTGTCAACTAGAGAACCTGATATAGATTTTTTTATTTCATTAGCATTGAGAAGACATACAGAAAGGAACTGTCAGAAATTATTTTTCTGCTTTGTAAGAGAAAAGCAATAATGTAAAGTTGCATTTTACCCTGAGACTGGGTTCCAAAGGCAGATTATGCAAAAATCGAGTATAATGAAAGATTTCCATTGAAAATCCCTTCAATAACCTATAAAATACAATAGATTTGAATCCATATAACCTAAATATGCATCAGATATGACACGACTGTTTTTAAAGCATGGCTCTAGTGGTTAAAGTGATCCAGCAACTAGAATTCTAAACCTCAACTAAGCATATAAAACAACTGTATAAAAATACGATTTCATACCCAAAAGGAAGCAGGAACTCAAACAGATATACTTGCACATTAATGTTCATAGGAGCATTATTCACAATAGTCAAAAGGTAGAAGCACCCCAAGTGTACATAGATGGGTGAATGGTATGATGGCTAATTTTATATGAGACTGGGAAATAAGGTAACCAGATATTTGATTAAATATTATTCTGGGTGTGACTGTGAGGATGTTTCTGGATAGGATTAACATCTGAATGGGTAGACTTAGTAAAGCAGATTCCCTCCTCAATTTGTATGAGCCTCATCCAACTGGATGAAAGTGTGCACAGAGCAACAACGCTGAGTAAAGGAGAATTCACTCTCTCTGCCGATCTTCAAGCTGGGAAATTAGTCTTCTGCCTTCAGATTTAGACTGGAACTCACACCATCAGCTCTTCTGACTTGAACTTTACTGTCAGCTCTCCTGGGTCTCCAGCTTGCTGATAACAGAACTTGGGTCTTCTCAGCCTCCATAATTGTGTGAGTCAATTCTTTGTAGTAAATATTTCCTTAATAAAGAAAGACATTCTTACACAAAACTGATGTACCTTGAAGATATTATGCAAAGTGAAATAAGCTGACACAGAAGGACAAATATTATATATTATATGATTGCACATTTCTGAGATTCCTAGAGTCATCAAACTTATAGAGACAGAAAGTAGAACGGTGGTTGCTGAGGGCTGGGCAGAGAGGGGAATAGGGAGTTATTGTTTAATGGGTATAGGGTTTCAGTTTTGCAAGGTGCAGAGTTCAGGAGATGGATGGTGGTGATGACTGCACAACAATGTAAATGTACTTTATGCTACTGAACCCTATATTTAACAACAGTTAAAATGGTAAGTTTTACATTATGTCTATTTCATCACAATAAAGAAAGTACCATTTGGCATCTTTATTTTTAAAAACTGTATTAAATAAATGAGTATTTAAAACACTATTGGAATTCTACTTCTGGCCAAAACAGAATAACAGGAACCGAATTATTTCCACTTTCCTTAAACAACTGGAAAGCAAGAAGACACATGTAAAAGAACAGTTGGACAACAGGCAGCCAGAATTGAGAGAAAAAGAAACAAATGACATAAACCCCTTGATGCCCTAGCTTACTGTGTGGAGACAGTTTAAGGCACAGCAGGAAGGAAGAACCCAAACAAAGAATGAAGACCCTGTTGAGCTGATGATACAGAGATCAGAATTTGAATAATCCAAGGTGGCTGGATTTGGAAGCAGAGAAGGAGCGCAGGGGAAACTGTTTAGAAAGAGAGACTGCTGGGCAGAATTTCAGAGGGATTCACTCATGTCTTTGACTATTTATCCATACACATAGGAGAAAAAAAAATTACCCAAGGACAGGGAAAGCAGCAGGATGAACAATTCCTTAAGTACACACAGAGCTGCAAATATGTATGCCTATTAGCCCTAGAGAAAGGAAACTCTAAAACTGTCATATCAAAGATTAAAAAAACAAGCCTCCAAGAAAAAAAAGATACAAATATTATAAATACCTGTCAGAACAAAGCCCAACATTCTTTAAAATAAAACCAAAAAGCAAAGCAAAACAAAATTTAAGCACCAACTTATTCTTTAAAGGAATAGAAGAAAATCCAGCATCCAATAATGTATAATTTACAATGTCTGGTATCTATGAAAAATGATAAGGCATGTAAAAAGGTAAAAATCATGATCCATAAACATGAAGAAAATCAATCAATAAACCAAGAAATGATAAAGATAAAGGAATTAGAAGGAAAAAACATCTACTTCAATGTGATCTGTATGTTTGAAAAAAATGTTTAATCATTAATATACCAAAGTGAGAACTGGAAGAAATTTAAGCTTCTATACATAAAAAAATTCTATCTAAAATTAAAAATAGACTGTTAAAAATTCACAGCAAATATAATTACAGAAGATGAGATGAATGAACTTTGAGACCTAACAGCAGAATTATCCAAAATGAAGCAGAGAAAAACAATAGTTTAAAAATGAAGAAAGTATTATTGACCAGTGTGACAATGTCAAGTTGTCTAATACATTTTAAGTGTGTTCCAAGATGAAATCAATGCTGGGAAGTGACATAGTTTGGATGTTTGTCCCCTCCAAATCTCATGTTGAAATGTGACCTCCAATGTTGGAGGTGGCCCTAGTGGGAGGTGTTTGGGTCATGGGGGCAGAACTCATGGAAATAATTTCTCACTCTATGAGTTCCCTGAGATCTGCTTGCTTAAAAGAAGGTGGCACCTCTTCCTTCTCTCTCTCGCTCCCTCCCTCTCACCATGTAACATACTGGTACCCCTTTGATCTGCCATGATTGTAAGCTTCCTCAGACCCTCACCAGAAGGAGACATCAGCACTATGCTTCAGGTACAGTCTGCAGAACTGTAAGTCAAATAAACCTCTTTTCTTTTAAATTACCCAGTCTCAAGCATGCCTTCATAGCAATGCAAACAGACAAACACAGGAGGGAGACTGAGAACTGAGGGAAAAAAAAAAACAATAGTTTTTAAAAAGTGGATGAAATGTTTTCCAAATATGATGAAAACTTTAAGACCACAAATCCAAGCAGAATAAACACTGAGAAAATGATACAAAGGTATATCATAATTACATTTCTGAAAATAGGTGATAAAGATAAAATCTTAGGGCCAGGCGTGGTTGCTCATACCTGTAATCCCAGCACTTTGGGAGGCCAAGGTGGGTAGATCACTTGAGGTCAGGGGTTTGAGACCAGCCCAGCCAACATGGTGAAACCCCATCTACCAAAAATATAAAAATTAGCTGGGTGTGGTGGCACGCGCCTGTAATCCCAGGTACTTGGGAGGCCGAGGCAGGAGAATTGCTTGAACCCGGGAGGCAGAGGTTGCAGTGAGCCGAGATCACACCATTGCACTCCAGCCTGGGTGACAGAGTGAGACTGTCTCAAAAAAAAAAAAAAAAAAAAAAGATAAAATCTTAGAAGCAGATAGAGAAAAAAGGAACAAAGATAATAATGACAAAAGACTTTTCAGGAGCTATGCAAACAAGACAATGGTGCAACATTTTTCAACTAAAAAAAAAAAGTCCATCAACCTGGAATTCTATGCCAACCAAAAGCATCTTTCCAAATAGAAGAAATAAAGATTTTTTTTCAGACACAAAAAAGCTGAAATAATTTATCACCAGCAGGCCTGCAAAAGAAAATGGTAAGAAAAGTTCTTTGGGTTGAGGCAAATGATACTAAACAGAAATATTATCCACATAAAGAAATAATGTGTACTTCAAAAGAAAATTATATGACTAAATAAAAGCATTTATTTCTCATTGTTAAATCTCTTCAACAGGTAATAGTAAAACAGAGGATATCACTACAGACCCTGCAGCCTTTAAAAAAACAAGAAAGGGGCCAGGCGCAGTGGCTCACGCCTGTAATCCCAGCACTTTGGAAGGCCAAGGCAGGCAGATCACGAGGTTAGGAGTTTGAGACCAGCCTGACCAACATGACCCCGTCTCTACTTAAAATACAAAAATAGTCATGTGTGGTGGTGCGCACCTATAATCTCAGCTACTCAGGAGGCTTAGGCAGGAGAATCGCTTGAACCTGGGAGGCGGAGGTTGCAGTGAGCCAAGATCACGCCACTGCACTCCAGCCAGGGCCACAGAGCAAGATTCCATCTCAAAAAAAAAGAACAAGAAGGGAATATTAGTGACAACCCTATACACATAAATTATACAAATTAGACGAAATGGTCCGAGACCTTAAAAACCACAAACTACTAAAACTCATCCTATATAAAATAAACAATACGAATAGTCTTATGACTATTAAAGAAAATGAATTTGAATTAAAATCTCCCCTCAAAATTTTTCAGGTCAAGAAAGGTTCACTGGAGAAATCTCCAAAATACTTAAAAATAAATTGGTACCAATTCTACACAATATCTTCCAGTAAATAAAACAGAGGTAAATATTTCCTAAATCATGTTAGAAGATCAGTATTACCCTGATAACAATTCTAGACAAAGACAGTACAAAAAAAGAACACCCCAGTTCAATATCTCTAATGGACCTGGACACAAAAATCTTCAACAAAATATTAATTCAAAACCAGCAATATATAAAAACAAATTACATCAGAACCAAACAGGGCTTATGACAGAACGGTTCACTATTCAAAAAATCAACATGTAATCCACTATTTCAACAGGCTACAGAAGAAAAAAAATACATGACCCTATCAACTGATGCAAAAAATAAAAGGATTTGACAAAAATTCAACACTCGGCCAGGTGCGGTGGCTAACGCCTGTAATCCCAGCACTTTCGGAGGCCGAGACAGGTGGATCACGAGGTCAGGATATCAAGATCATCCTGGCTAACACGGTGAAACCCTGTCTCTACTAAAAATACAAAAAATTAGCCGGGCATGGTGGCGGGTGCCTGTAGTCCCAGCTACTCAGGAGGCTGAGGCAGGAGAACGGTGTGAACCCGGGAGGCAGAGCTTGCAATGAGCCAAGACTGCGCCACTGCACTCCAGCCTGGGCGACAGAGCAAGACTCCGTCTCAAAAAAGAAAAAAAAATCAACACTCACTCATGATTAAAACCTCCCAGCAAGCATCGAATAAAAGGGCCTTCTTCAACATGATAAGGAGCGTTTACCAAAAAACTTACAACTAACGTAATGCTTAATAGTGAAAGACAATCCTTTTCCCTCAAGGTTGAAAACAAGAAAGAATATCCATCCTCACTATTCTTGTTCAACATAGTACTGAAAGTCCTAGTCAACACAGGCCACAAAGAAAAATAAAAGGCACATAGATTTGATAGAAACATTATCCAATTTGCAAATGACATGATTGTCTACGTAGAAAATCCTAAGGAATCCATAAAAGAATCTCCTAGAACAAACAAGCAAGTTCAGGAAGATCACAGTATATAATATCAACACACAAAACTTAATTGTATTTTCATAAACCATCAATAAACATGTGTAAACTGAAATTATAAACATAACACCATTTATAATCACTCCAAAAAATTAAAATACTTACATATAAAGCAAATAACAGGTATAGGATTTACATGCTGAAAATTACAGAGTGCTAATGAAAGAAATCAAGGAAGATTTAAATAGACATATCAGGTGAATGGATTAGAAGACTCAATATTATAGATATCAATTCTCCCCAAATTTATCTAAAAGTTTAAATACAATTCCTATCAAAATTGCAGTAAAGTTTTTTGCAGATATAGACAAGTATATTCTAAAATGCATACATAAAGGCAAATGATCTAGAATAGCTAAACAATTTTCTAAAAGAATAAAGGAAAAATCACTGTTCAATGTTAACTTACTATATAGCTACTGTAATTAAGAGAGTGTGGTATTGGTAAACACATAGATCCAGGAAACAAAATAAAGAACTCAAAAACAACTGTCCAAATATGCCCAATTCATGGTTGACAGGCACGAAAAAGCAATTCAAAGATGAAAAGACAGTCTTCTTCACAAATGGTGCTGGTATAAGAGGACATCAAAATGATAAAAATGAACCTCAACCTATATCTCACATCTTACATAAAATTTAACTCAAAATGAGGGGGAGGTGCTTCAAGAAGGCTGCCTAGAGGCATTTGGTACTCACCTTATCTACAAAGAAGAGCCAAAATGCAAGTAAATAATCACATCTCAAACAGGTCGTCGAAGATAGAACACTCTAATTTAATAGAAAAGTGACAAGAAACACCCAAAAAGCAAAGATAAAAAGGGAAACGAGGCAACCTGCTTAGCTGAGATCAGCTGGGAGCCTGGAGAGGCTCCCCAGTGTGGGAAAAGGATAAGTGAAAGACCCCCAGCAGTTCAAATTCCCACCACAGACCCCTGCAATCCTAGCCATGCAAGAGCTCCTCAAACCCCATGGGCCCTGAGAATAAAGTAGGAAGCTGCCTGAAGACTGTGCAATGCCATGGCTCTAGAGAAGGAGCTCATGCTGAGCCATACACAACTCCTGAGTCCCAAGCAGCTACGGTAAGGTGCCATTTTGAGAGCCCAGCCCCTATAGAGCTGCATTCTGTCCCCAGGAGCCAACAGCCCCACATCTCCACATCACTGGATCCCCACTGACATCACCTGCCTACAGCGACTGCTGCAGCCTGGCTAATGCCACCTGGGCAAAAATGCAAGCCATTAGCAGCAACCCCATTGCCCCAAACAGCAAAACCATGGCACATTTTCACATGTCCTGAGGATACACTCCCCTAAGCATGGCAGCCCCACAGCAGGCTGCTGCCACTGGGGCCAAAGCACAAGCAAAGCATGCAATCCCAACCATTTATCTATGGCTAGAGCCACTGAAAGCAACTTCACCCTCCCTAGCATAGGGCGGTGGTGCAGTCACTGCCGCCCATACTTGAGCATTCCACTGAGGGGCCTAGAAATAACCCCACCCCCGCCTACCAGAGCCAAGGTCTACATGTACCACAGGTGGTGGGAAGAGGGCAGGTCCACCTGGCCTGGCACACCCCCTAGCAAGAGCCTGAGCAAGCCATCCAGGGGCCTGGGGATTGCCAAGCACCAGTCCACCACCACTGTCACCTAAGTACTCCTCCTAGGGGCCTCAGAATGGGCCCATCCAATTGCTGCTACCAACACAGTCATAAACCTCACACATGCCACCTGCAGGCCTGGGCACTGTCCTGCCTAGCCTGTCGTACCTACCATCAACAAAATCGTGAACTGCTCAGAACTCAGAGGTTAGTCCTACTACTGCTACTACCATAGCCCATACCATACCCACTGTTCAGAGACCCAAGAACCCATCCACTGGCCTGACCCACTGGTGCCACTATAGGCACACAAGTAAGCCACCTAGAGATCCAACAATCAACTGCAATAGACTACCCAACACCAGTGCCAGCATATGCCTCCCTGGAACCTAAGGACAGGCAGGCTGTGCCTGTGCTGCCAAAACTAGAGCCCAAGGAATAGCCTACCTGGTATCCCTGTCCCCAGCAAAACCTCACCACAGCCTCCACTAACAACTGCACTCTAAGCCACTGACACCACTAATGAGGTTTACAGCTGAAAAAAATCATACAGAAATTACATGACTGCACACACCCAGAATCAAAGCCAAAGTACTCTACTCAACCAACACCATAGATACATTTTAAGAAAAAATCATCCATTATGATAGCAAATTCAAAAAATTGGAAGAGTTGATTCTCACACCAGATACCCAGATATCAATGTAAATATATAAGAAACATTAAAAAAACAAGGACACTTCAAAAGGAGCACAATAACTCTCTGGCAACAGATTCCAATCAAAGAGAAATTTATGAAATCCCAGAAAAAGAATTTAAAATTATTTTAAAGAAGCTCAGTAAGATACAAGGGAATACAAAAAAGCAGTAAAAAGAAATCAGAAAAACAACTCAGGATATGAATGAGAAATTTACCAAAAAGATGGACAGATATAAAAAAAGAACCAATCAGAAATCCTGGAACTGAAGATTTCACTGAATGAAAGATGAAACATATTGAAAAGCTTCAATAACAGGCTAGATCAAGCAGACCAATGCATTTCAGAACACAAAGACAGGTCTTTTGAAATAGCTCAATCAGACAAAAAATAAAGAAAAAACAATGAGCAAGGGCTATGTGATATATGGAATACCATAAAGCTATAAAATACTTGAATTTGTGGTGTCCCAGAAGGCAAAGAGAAAACAAAAGGGTTAGAAACCCTATTTAATAAATAGCTAAAAAACTTTCAACGTCTAGAAAGAGATTTAGGCTTCCAGATACAAGAAGCACATAAATCCCCAATCAAATACAATGTAAAAAGATCTTCTCCATCACATATTATAGTCAAACTGTCAGAAGTCAAAGAAAGAATTCTAAAAACAGCACAAGGACAGTAGCCACTCACTTAGAAGGGAACTTCTATCAGACTAATAGCACATTGCTCAACAGAACCTTACGGGCCAAGACGAAATGGGATAACATATTCAAAGTGCCGAAAGAGAGAAAACTGCCAGCCAAGGATGCTATATCCAGAAAAGTTTTCCTTCATAAGTGAAGAAGAAATGAAGTCTTTCCCAAACAAGCAAAAACAGAGAATTCATCACTACTAGACCAGATCTAAGAGAACTGCTTAAGGGAATCTTAAACCTGGATGCAAAGGGAAGATATCTAGCACCATGTAAAGGCACAACAGAATAAAACTCACTGTTAGAGGAAACACACAAATTCGAAGGGAAAGAACTCAAATGTTACCACTATAGAAAACAACCAAACTACAACAATAAACAATAAGAGAAAAAGAAAAAAACAAAGGATATTAATGCAATAAGAATCAATAAATAAAATTTTAGAAATAAGCCCTCGCATATCAATAATAACCTTTAATATAAATGAATTAAACTTTCAATAAAAGACAGAGACTTGCTGAATGGATTTTAAAACATGGCCCAACTACATGCTGACTACAAAACACTCATCTTATCTGTAAAGACACATAAACTGAAAGAACAGGGATGGAGAAAGACATTCTGACTGGGCACAGTGGCTCACGCCTGTAATCTCAGCACTTTGGGGGGCTGAGGCAGGCAGATCACTTGAGCTCAGGAGTTTGTGACTAGCCTGGCCTACATGGTGAAACCCCATATCTCCAAAAAATATACAAATTAGTCGGGGATGGTGGCACATGCCTGTAGTCCCAGATACTCAAGAGGCTGAGGTGGGAGGATCGCTTGAGCCCAGGAGGTAGATGTTGCAGTGAGCTGTGATCATATTACTGCACTCCAGCCTGGGTGACACAGTGAGACCCTGTCTCCAAAAAAAGAAAAAGAGAAAGACATTCCATGCAAACGAAAACCAAAAGTGAGCAGGAGTAGCTATATTTATATCAGATAAAGCAGAATTTAAGTCAAAAGCAGTAAAAAGAGACTAAGAAGGTCATTATATAATGATAAAGGAATCAATTCAGCAATAGAATATAACAATTCTAAACATATATGCACTCAACACTGGAGCATACAGACATATAAAGCAAACATTATTAGATCTAAAGAGAAAGATAGATTCCAATAAAATAATAGTTGGGGACTTTAATTCTTCACTCTCAGCATTAGACAGATCATCTAGGCAGAATATTAACAAAGAAACAGATTTAAACTACACATTAGATCAAATGGACCAAACAGACATTTACAGAACATTTCATCCAAGAGCTGCAGAGTATACATTTTCTTCATATCAACACATGGAGCATTCTCCAGGATAGACCATATGTTAGGCCACAAAACAAGACTCAACAAATTTTACCAAAAAAAAATCATATCATGTATGAAATCAATAAAAAGAAGAACTTCAGAAAATGTACAAATACATGGAAACTAAACTTGCTTCTGAATGAGCACTGAGTCAAGGAAGAAATTATGAAAAAATAAAGACTGCCTTGAAGCAAATGAAAACCAAACACGACATACCAAAACCTACGCAAAACAGAAAACGCAAGGGTAAAAGGAAACGATACAGCAATAAATGACTACATCAAAAAAGTAGAAAGATTTCAAATAATCTAAGGATGCACCTCAATGAAGAGAAGAAAAAACCAAACCCAAAATTAGAAAGGATAAAATAATAAAGAGCAGAATTATATGAAATACAGATAAAAAAATCAACAAAATAAAAGGTAACTTTTTTGAAAAAGATAAATTTCTAAACAGCTTGCCAGACTAAGCACACACACACACACACACACACACACACACACACACACACACATAAAAACCCAGGAGACCCAGATAAAATCAGTAATGATAAAGGAATCAATACAATTACCACAGTAATAGAAAAGGTCATAACAGACTATTATAAACAACTGTACAAGCTGGAAAACCTACAGGAAGTGAATAAATTCCTGGACAAATAAAATCTACCAAGATTGAATCAGGAAGAAATAGAAAACCTGAACAGACCAGTTGTGAGTAATGAGATCAAATAGTAATAAAAAGTCTCCCAACAAAGAAAAGTTCAGGACCATATGGCTTTACTACTGAATTCTACCAAATGTCTAAAGAAAAACTAACACAATTTCTCCTCAAACTATTCCAAAAAAATGAAGAGGAGGGAACGGAACTCTCCTTAACTCATTTTATAAGGCTAGAATTACCTTGATATCAAAACCAGACAAGATTGCAACAAAAAAAGAAAACTTCGGGCCAATATTCCTGACAAACATAGGTGTAAAATTACTCAATAAAATAACAATAAACCAGATTCAACAGCACATCAAAAAGGTAACACATCATTATCAAGTAGGATTTACCTAGAAATGCAAGGATGGTTCAACATATGCAAATCAATTAGTGTGATACAGCACATCAACAGAATGAAGAACAAAAACCATATGATCATCTCAGTAGATGCAGTGAAAGCATTTGATAAAATTCAACAACCTCCCTGATAAAAACACTCTCAACAAAGTAGGCATTGAAAAAATATATCTCAACATAATAAAGGTCATATGTAACAAACTCACAACAAACATCATAATGAATGGAGAAAAGTTGAAAGCTTTTCCTCTAAAAACTGGAACAACACAAGGATGCCCACTTTCACTACTCCTATTCAGCATGGTACAGAATGTCCTTTTCAGAAAAATCAGGCAAGAGAACAAAATAAAAAGCATCCAAATTGGAAAAGAAGTCAAATTGTCCTTTTGCATCTGATATAATCTTATATATAGAAAAACCTAAAGACTCCACCAATAAACTTGTAGCTCTTATAAATTCAATAAATAACAGTATATAGAATCAACATAGAAAAATCATTAGTGTTTCTAAATTCCAATAATAAATGAGCTGAGAAAGTGATCAAAAAGGCAAACTCATTTACAACAGCTATAAGAAAAATACCTAGGAATAAATTTAACCAAAGAGGTGAAAAACCTCTACAAGGAAAACTATAAAACATTAATGAGAGAAATTGAAGAGGACACAGACAAATGGAAAGACATTCCATGCTCATAGACTGGAATAATTCAATGACCATACTGCTCAAAGCAACCTACAGATTCAACGCAATCCCTTTTAAAATACCAATGACATTCCTCACAGAAATAGAGAAAAACAAAAAACACTAAATTCAAATGGAAACAAAAAAGAGCTCAAATAGCCAAAACAATGTGAGCAAAAGGAACACAGCTGGAGAGATCATGCTAACCTGACTTCGAAATACATTACAAAGTTACAGTAACCAAAACAGCATAATATTATTATTTTAAAAATAAAAGACTTGTAAGGCCAGGCACAGTGGCTCATGCCTGTAATCCCAGCACTTTGGGAGGCCGAAGTGTGCGGATCACTTTGTTACCGGCAGGTCTTTTTTCTTACAGCTCCCAAGATGGTGGTGGGCTACTCCCAACATGGCAGCAAGCCTTTTGTTCTCTGACCTGGGGTTCCTGGCCTCACGGATTCCAAGGAATGGAACCTTGGGCCATGCGGTGAGTGTTATAGCTCTATTAGAAGCTGTGGAACCCAGCAACTAGTGTTCAGCTCAATTAGGACAAACCTGGGCACTTAGCCATGCAGGAACAATGGCGAGCCTCTAGCCCAATTGGGAGCGGCAATGGGCACCTTGCTGGATCAGGAGCACAACGGACACCTGCCAGATCCGGAGGGGTGGAAGTCAGTGGCAGGTCTGCGAAGGTGGCAAACAGCAGTGGTGGATGGGGAGCGAAAGCTCAGCTCGAGCAGTAACAAACATGGACCAGAAGAGTATGCAGTTGCAAGATTTAATAGAGTGAAAACAGAGCTCCCATAAAATGGGAGGGGACCCAAAGGGGGTTGCCACTGCCAGTTCGAATGCCTGGGTTTATATCCAGATCACTGTCCCTCCCCCTGTGCTCTCAGGCAATATATGATTTGACTATTTCTTTACCTCCTGCCTTTAGCCTAATTTGTATTTTAGTGAGCCCTCTTTACTACCTGATTGGTCGGGTGTGAGCTAAGTTATAAGCCCCATGTTTAAAAGTGGGTGCAGTCACCTTCCCCAGCTAGGCTTAGGAATTCTTAGTAGGCCTAGGAAATCCAGCTAGTCCTGTCTCTCAACTTGAGGTCAGGAGTTCAAGACCAACCAGCCTGGCATACATGGTGAAACCCCGTCTCTACTAAAAATACAAAAAAAAAAAAAAAAAAAAAAAGGAGCCAGGTGTGGTGGTGGGCACCTGTAATCCCAGCTACTCAGGAGGCTGAGACTAGAGAATCGCTTGAACCCAGGAGGCAGAGGTTGCAGTGAGCCGAGATCGTGCCATTGCACTCCAGCCTCGGCAACAATAGTGAAACTCTGTCTTAAAAAGATAGATAGATAGATAGATAGATAGATAGATAGATAGATAGATAGATAGACTAATGGAACAGAATAGCAGTATAGAGAACCCAGAAATAAATCCACATATTTACAGTCAACTGATTTTCAACAAAGGCACCAAGACTATACACTGGGGAAAGAACACCCTCTTAAGTAAATGATTCTGGAAAAACTAAATATCTATACGTAGAAGAATGAAACTGGAGCCCCATCATTCATCTATAAAAATCAACTCAAGATGGATTAAAGATTTAAATGTAAGACCTGAAATTACAAAGCTAGTAGAATGAAACACAGGGGAAACATTTCAGGACACTGGTCTAGGCAAAGATTTTTATGGTTAAAGCCTTTTGAGAAAGCATTAACAAAAAAAGACAAATGGGACTACATTAAACTAAACAGCTCCTACACAGCAAAGAAAACAATTAACAGAATGAAGAGACAAACTATTGCATGGGAGAAAATATTCACAAACTATTTATCCAACAAAGTATTGATAATCCAGAATACACAAGGAAATCAAACAATTCAGCAGTAAAAAACAAAAAATAATCCCATTAAAACGTGGGCAAAGGACATAAATAAACATTTCTAAAAAGAAGGCATACAAATGGCCAATAGGTATGTTAAAAAACACTCAATTTCACTAATCATTAGGGAAATGCAAGCTAAAACCACAATTAGATATCCTCTCACCCCAGTTAGAATGGCTATTATTAAAAAGACAAAAAATAACAGAAGCTGATGAGGCTGTAGAGAAAAGGGAATTCTTATACACTGTTGTTAAGAATGTAAATCTGTATAACCTCCATGGAAAACAGTATGGGCATTTCTCAAAATACTACAAATGGAACTACCATACAAGCCAGCATGTGCACTACTAGGTATGTATTCACAGAAAAGGAATCAGTATATCTAAAGGATAATTGCATTGCATGTTTATTGCAGCATTATTCACAATAGCAGTGATATGGAATCAACCTAAGAGTCCATCAACAGATGAATGGATAAAGAAAATGTGATATAATATACACAATGGAATACTATTTGACCATAAGAAATGTGATATATATATACAAAAAGGAAAACTATACATCCATAAGAAGAATAAAATCATGTCATTTGTAGCAAGATGGATGGAACTGGAAGTTACTGTGTTAAGTGAAATAAGTCAGGTACAGAAAGACACAGTGCATGTTCTCACTCACATGTGAGAGATAAAAAAGTTGATCTCATGGAAGTAGGGAGTAGAATGATAGCTATCAGAGAAGTGTGTGGGTGATGGTGCACAGAAGGAAACAATGAAGAGAGTTTTTTTAATGGGTAGAAACATACAGTTAGATAGAAGGGATAAGTTCTAATGTTCAATAGCATATAGGGTGATTAAAGTTAACAACAAAGTATTATATATTTCAAGATAGCTAGAAGAGAGGACTTAAAATGTTCCCAACACATAGAAATCATAAACACTTGGGGCAATGGATAATGGAAATATCCTAACTTGAACATTACACATTCTATGCATATAACAAAATATCACATGTACCCCATAAGTATGTACAAACACATATCAATAAAACAAAGAGAATGAAAAGACAATCCAAAGACTGGGAATGTTTACTAATCACATATCTTAAAAAGAAGTTGTATTCAGAACATATGAACAACTTCTAAAACTCAACAATAAGAACACAAACAAAAAAAGGGGGCAAAATTCTAGACTTTACCAAGAAAGATGTATATATGGCATATAATTCACCATTAGGAAAATGCAAATTAAACCACATAGAAACAAAAACCTGTGACAATGAGAAAAAAAGTCAACAAACCTGTCAATATTAATTGCTGATAAAGATGCCAAACTAAGAGAACTCTCATACATTATTGGTAGTAGTGAAAAATAATACAGGTACCTTGAAAAGTGGTGTTCTAGTTCTTACAAAGTTACTGTAGACGTACCATATTACCCAGCAGTCCTCCCCCTAGGTATCAACTCAGGACAAATGAAAATAAATATCCACATAAAAACCTGTTGATGAATGTTTTTAAAGACTGTATTCATAATCACCCAACCCTGGAAACAACACAAATGTCTAACATTTGGCAAATGGATAAGTAAAATATAGTTTATTCATTCAACAGAATAAAATTCAGCAATGAAACGAAACCTACTAATATATGTTTAAAAATTAACTGAAAATAGATCATTAATTTAAATGTGAAATATAAAACAAAACTTTTAGAAGAATGCATAGGAGAAAACCTTCATAAACTAGGACTAGGGAAAGAGTTCTTTGACATGACACTAAATGCACAGTTTATAAAAGAAAAAATTGATAAACAGGACTTCATCAGAATTAAAAATGTTTGCCCTACGAAAGACCTGTTAAGAGGGTGAAAGACAAGCTACAAACTGAGAGAAAATATTCACAAAGAATATATCCAATAGAGACTTGTATCTAGAAGATATAAAGAACTATCAAAACTCAATAGTTTTAAAAACTCCATTTAGAAAATGGACAAAAAATACGAATAGGTATTTTACCAGAGACAAGGTATAGATGGCAAATAAGCACATGAAAAGATGTATGGTCAACATCACTAGTGAGATATCACTATGTACCTAATAAAATGGCTAAAACTAAAACATAGTAATAATACCAAATGCTGAGGAGGATGTAGAGAAAGTGGTTCTTTCATACGTGACTGGTGGGAATGTAAAATGGTACAGCCACTCTGGAAAATAATTTGGTATTGTCTTATAAAGTTAGAAATGCAATTACCATATGACCCAGCAATCACATTCTTGGGCATTTAACCCAGAGATATGAAAACTTATGTTCACATAAAAACTTATACATGAATACACACAGTAAATTTATTTCTAATAATCAAAAACTGGAATCAATCCAAATGCCCTACAATGGGTCAATGGTTAAACAAAATGGCATATCTAGACAATGGAATATTACTCATCGGTAATAAACACAAATGAACTACTGATATTTACAAAAACTTGGATGGATCTCAAAGGCATTATACTTATTGAAGAAAGCCAATCTCAAAAAATTACATACCTTATGATTCCATTTCTATAACATCTATAAAATGACAAAACTAAAGGGATGGAGAACAGATTAATGATTGCCAGGAGACAGAGATGAAGTTGGCAGTTGGGGACATTCCTACAAATGGGTAACAGAAGGGACTTGCTAGTGGTGGAACACTTCTGTATCTTGAATGTTTGTGGTCATGGTTGCACAACACAATACATAGGATCGAATTGCACAGAACTCCAAACACACTCACACACACACACACACAAATTACTGCATACAAAACCTAATGGAAATTGAATAATGACCGTGTTTTAGTTAACAGTACTGTACCAATATCTTGGTTTTGATGTACTATTAGCCATATAAGATGTTACCATTAGGCTATGACAAATAATGATCGTAACAACTCAACATTAATGTCCAGAATAATTTTTAATAAAGGCACTATAGCAAAATGCAGGCATTTTTGAAGGGGCCTGGGGTTAGAGGGCGGTGGTAAATAAAAACTAATACATACGAACTAAGAGGACTAGATACAGAACATATTTTCAGAAATCCAGGTAAAATGGGTCAACAAATCAGTAAGAGGCAGTAAACTAAAACCCTGTAAAACTGGCCAAGGGAAAAAGTAATATTTTTAAGAAATGCAAGAATTCTTTACAAGCATATCTTCATTGCCATCTCCAAAAGAGATGACATAACTTTCTTGTGAATAATATGCCTTCCTTTAATTATAACAGTCATCACCATCTTCCTTACCATCTTCATTATTACAGCAAACTAATTCAAACTACTTTCTTCCAGCATGCACTGCTTTAACCCCGCTCATCTTGAGTTGTACCTGACATTTTTCTCACCACTAATATATTTTTATGAGATTTTTCTACCATCTATGCCTTATCTGAAGCACTTTTCAATTAGGGAAAAGTTAAATCACCTCCAAGAGTGCATCTTGCCATGTAAACGTGAAATCCTCTAATGAACAGCAGAGAGTGATCATCATTAGTTCACTGTTTTACATATCATAGCTCGGTTTTGAATAAACTCAAGAATAAAACTGTCTTCCTGTTAAGTTTAGAACAAATCAGTTTGCTAACTTGTTCTAAAATATACTTTACTATGCATTTGCCATTTTATTTTCTAATATTTCCAGTTTACTCCTCCCTTAACCCTTACACCCCCATTTGTACCCAGCATTATTATTCCTATAGTACAGATGAAGAGAAAGATTCAGAGAAGTTAAGCAACTTGCCCATGGTAAGAAGGAAAACCTTGAGTTTGAATCCAGATAGTTACAAGATCCAGAGAAGTTAAGCAACTTGTTCATGTTAAGAAGGAAAACCTTGAATTTGAATCCAGATAGTTCTATCTCTAGAACCTATCTACTCTTTTAACATCACTGTACTACCTCTAAAATCCAGAAAATCAATCTGAACTCACATACTGCTTGCAGGAGTACAAATCAGAACCACAACTTGGGAGATCAAATTTTCACATTAAGGCTGAACATGCACAAAATCTATCTAGGTGGAAACCCAGCATGTCTATTTAGACAGAAACTGTGACATACATTACTTGCCCTCACTCCTAAATTGTCCATTATTCTGAGCGTGCTGGATCCTTCCCAGCAACATACAAGCATGCAGTAAAACCTTCTATAGGGTTGTTTACAGCTGTCTCCAATTCCTCTCTTTCCATTCTCTGCTGAAAGTTCTCCAATCAGGCTTTCATTTCTATTTATTGAAACAGCTCTTTGTGAAGGTCAAATGACCTCCACATGGTCAAAGGCAAAAGTAAATTCTCAGTTCTCATCTAATCTGACCCATCACCAGATATGACTTTAATTAATTACTCCCATTTAATTTTTTCATTTGGTATTCGGGATCTCTCCCTTGTTCCTGATTCTTAACCTATTTTACTAAAAATTACTTTTCAGCCTCTTTTGCTACTTTCTGCTCAGCTTCCTGACCCTAAAGGTCTCAGTGCCCATAGCTATCTCACAATTCAACAACAGACACTTCTTTTCGAAGTCAAATTACTTTAGATAGCAGATTTATTTTTTAATTCTAGGATTCAAATTTCCATAACAATGTCTAACGCAGATTCCTTCCAAAACGTTAACATGTATAAACCTCTCATAAAATATCAGTAATGCCAATGCCACAAAGGCAGAATACAGAAACAGACAGATCATTACCCTAATCCAGTATGACATTCCAAGCAGAAAACATAAGGTAAAGGCACTAGCCTTGATTCAAAAAACTTATTAATTTTATTATTAAATGTATGACATTGAGTAAGAAAAGCATTAATAATTCTTATAGATGCAAAATTACATGATCCCGTGATTTATTTACTGAGTACATACATCTCAGATGCAGTAATAGTTGCTGTGAGGGATATAAATAATTGCAAATACTTTAGGTACTTATATTCTTATTTTAGATTTGAAATGAATGGAAGGTCACCTAAATATTCCTACACCTTTATTAGGCACAATGAAAATTTCCTGAAAAAGCAAATTAAGTATGTACCTTTCAGTGCGGTAGTCTTTTCTTTTTCATCTGGACCTCCCTGCTGGATTTGTGCCATGTTTATCCAAATTGGCAACAAAATTAAAGAGCTCAAGGAAATAGACATCAATCTTCAGAAGACAGTCTAGAATGAATGAAAGCAATAAATTAAGTTCTACTCAAAACCTATCTATTCCACGAGAACTTCCTTGATCCTCCCAGTCAGGATTAATCTCTCTATGCTAATTTCCCACTTTGTTGATGCCTATGCCATAGTACTTATTATTGTCTGCTTTGCATTATACTTATTTATGAATTTATCTGAGTCAGCTAATGGCATACAAGCCACAGGAATACAGACATCAAGTTTTTGTCATCTTTCTCTCATGTCCACCAAACACAATACCTTATACATTACAGTTACCTAATGTTTGCTGAATTTAGCCAAACTTACCATTTAGTTTTAGTTACCTATCACCTAATGTTTTTAAAAAATATCTTTGGGTAGTTCCAAAAACCTAAAATTTCTTTTAAAATAAATTGTAAGCATGGGCCATTTACAAGGTCAGAATGTCTTCCTTCTGGAACAAGCAGATAGGAGGATGCAAATACGTAAATATATAAAGTATCTACAAATTTCCTATAGTGTAATTAAAAATACAACTTTCAGGGAAAAATTAGCCCTTTTTAAATGAAACGATGTCATCAGTGTCTGGAAGCCATCCTCTCTAAATGGCACTCCAGTAAACAACCATACTATAAAATCAGGATTTATTAAAATCGAATTCTGCTCTACTTTGGCCAAAGGGAAGGCATTAAAACTTCCCTTTTTAATGGGAATGGCTTTTCCCAGGGTCCCCATGAACAGTAAAGCAACTATTTTTCCTAAAGTTTAAAAGGAAAAAAAGTGTATCTCCTACAATGTGAAAATTTAAACTACATTTAATCCATTAATCCAAAACTGTTAATGAAATTATATAAAAACTACATTCATGACAATATAACAAGATTGAATATTCCTCTGAGGAATCAAATTTGACTTGCTATCCATAAGGTAAATTTCAGTTTCCGTTCAGCAGTACATTTTATAATTATCTTTAAAAACAGATCTATTTCCATAATCAGCAGAATGTAACAGAAAATACTTTTTAAAAAACTAATACTGAAAATAAATAATTTAAAACTATGAATGTTCCAAATGGCCATAATCAATGCTGCCCTTGTGTCAAGTCTAACTGTAGGTGATGTGCTATAAGAGAAAGGGCACTCTGGCTCCACTAAGAACTACCGATGAGCCCTTGACAAATTATTTAACTTCTCTGGGCCTCATTTTCCACATCTGTAAAATGGAAATGATAATCATGTTTCCCTCATAGTGTTACAGTGAGGTTAAATGTAAAACATTTCATATAATGTCTGATCCATAATTATGTGCACAACATCCATGTTAGCTTATTTTTTTTAATTGCTGTAAACAAATCACGGCTTCATCACTTAATAACATCTCCGTGGCCAGTCATATCCAAATTCTTTGGTTTCTTCATTTACGAAATGTCGCTTCAACATTAAATAGTACAGAAGGTATATATAGCCAATCATTTCTATAACTAGCCATCTTACTGTTACTCAATGGTGTGAGATATTCTAAAAGGAATACCTAGAATGTAGCTACTTTTCACTGGGAAAGCCCTTTCACTTAGCATAAGTGACTCTTATTTTTCTTCTTTGTATAGGTAACTCAAAACTCTATAATTTCTACATGAATAAAATGTGTCTATATCCCTTCAAGAAATACATCCTAGTATATAAGGTAGGCAATGTACAAGACTCTGGGGGTACTATGGTGAGTAAAACAAATATGGTCACTGCCCTCCTATGGCTTACTTTGTAGCTGCCAAATCAAACTGCCAAGCAGCCACAAAGAAAATACATCAGACCTAGACTGATAATTACAATAATGTCAAAACAAACAAATATCTGCAAGGGATATATATTTCCATTCAGGAATTAGTGAAGTCCCACATGATAGTGCACAAATTTCACCAGCAACTTTTTATTACACATCATCTTGTAGCAGAAATTAAAGAGAAATGTTCTTAATGAGGAATTCCACACAGCACCCTTTGCTAAATATTCTACAACTAAGTTAACTACCTCCAGGAGACTTCCCTTCACTAACTCAGTATTTCTTCCAAATATAAACTATTAGATTATTTTTCATTGGCCCCAAATTGTCCGATTTCTGAACAGAACAATACATATAATTATGTCATTGTGACTGGTTTAACAAAGGTAAAATTATAAATATGTATTCAGTGCTAGGGTCATTATCAAAATTCATATTTCAATGATTCACTTTCAAGATTCTGAAGATTAAATAAAAATTAATAATCATGTTTTATATGAGACAACCTAAAAACTCACAAAGCAATTTGCTGGAGTAATAACATATAAGTTAAAAGACTATTGGCTGGGCGCGGTGGCTCACGCCTGTAATCCCAGCACTTTCGGAGGCTGAGGCAAGCAGATCACGACATCAGGAGATGGAGACCAACCTGGCTAACATGGTGAAACCCCGTTTCTACTAAAAACACAAAAATCAGCCGAGTGTGGTGGCACACGCCTGTAGTCCCACCTACTCGGGAGGCTGAGGCAGGAGAATCCCTTGAACCTGGGAGGCAGAGGTTGCAGTGAGCCAAGATCACACCACTGCACTCCAGCCTGGTTGACAAAGCGAGACTCTGTCTCAAAAAAAAAAAAAAAATTAATTATTACATGTGACCCTAAACTTTACAGTAGCAGTTGCAAAGCAGGTAAGCATGAAGCAAAAGCAATTTGTCTGTTGCTCTCTTAACATAGTGTTAGATTTTTACCCTCCTGAGTTATTTTTCCTGGCTGTGGCACAGCTGGTGAAGCTCAATCAAGAACATTATAAATTCTCAATTTAGTTTTCCTAATAAAAATTCAGAGTTATAACCTGCATGACCACAGATAAACACTACTGAAAATGCAGCCAGCAAGCTGTTGGCACATTTGATATATATTAATACATGCACTCGACATAGTTTATTTGGCATTATCTGATGGAGGTTAGGTTATAGAGAATAAAGCGGTGGAAGGTTTTTACTGATGTGAATTGGGACACAGTTGACATGTTGTATACTTCATGATAACCACTGCTGTTTAAATATGGTTTCCTAGAAATGGTTACAGTACAAACTAGATTCAAAACATCTCAGTTTGCCATTTTATTCTGTGAACTACACAAAGCAATTATCATATCCCTTTCCTTTCTATGATTCCAACAGAGAATCTACTATGTATAAAGCTATAAATAACTTGTCATGTGTAATCTTTATCCAGTCAGCATTTGAAAATATGAAACAGTAGAATACTTCTTATTTGCCCCGTTGGCACAAAATGTGGCATATGCACTTATAAAATGTACAGAAAGATACACAAAAGCCTTATTTTTTTCTACATTTGTTTGTTTTTAGTCAGGTATTAAATACGAACTAGATATACGTGATTTTGCAACAGAAGCCCTTTTCATCTCACATTCTGAATGCATTGATGAAAGTACAAAATATATCACAGAACACGTAAAATTGGGTTAATTTTCTGAGGTTCCCAGGACTGGTTTGGTTCCAGTCTAGCCCTAAAGATTCTATGCTCACTAAGTGAGACTCTAGAAATCAAGTTCAAAATAGCCTACTTGCAACTGAAATTACAGTAAATAGAATTGGCACAAGGGATTTATAAGGAACCAAAAGACCCACCCAAATTACAGTTAAAATATTCATCGGTTGCTCATCAGCAAAGGCTAGTTCATAGTAATGCTGGACAGCATTATTCTGAGGCTGCAGTGAGAAAAACGTTGGTGTGTGGGCACTGGGAAAGAAGCTGAAGAATGAAGACATCAGGCTGAGCAGACACGAGACAAAGCCCAGGGTAATAAGGGCCCCTGGTGCGTAGAAAATGGTGGCTTTTATAACAAATGCAAAATTGCGTTTGGATCAAAGTTTTGGAGCCAAACCTCTTTGCTCCTGAGACTAGGAATACCAGGTTCCAATCCAAGTATATCTAAAATAATTCCTTAGTTTCCCAAGCAACATGATATAGTAGGTTTGGAATGAGAAATCTAGGTTTTTAATTTCAGTTCCACCATCTAGTAGCTAAGTGACCTTGAGAAAGTTACAACTTCTCTAACCTAAGTAATGGGAAGAATCATGAAAATAAGAGCAGTTACCTTTGCAGGACTATTATGAAGATTACATGAAAAAATGTATATGAAAGCATTTTACAAACTATAAATCCCTTTAAAAATATTAGTAATCCACATAAAATCTGAAATAACTAGATTCCAACTAATTTGTGCTCAAACTGCCAGAATACCAAAATCAATCAATTCACAGAAATAAAAACCTTTTAATATGCATCACTTGGATGAACTCTATGCACAAATAATAAAGTCTCACAACAAATATCTGTTAACTTGGGTTTCCAAGACTATATTGAAAATAATTATAATGGAACTTAATTTTTGGACATAAGTTATACTTACATTCATTTCATTATATTTACATTCCTTTACATTCCTTTAATCTTATTAAAATGCATGCTTGAACAAAGATCACATATGTGGGTTCCACCTTCATTTGCCTAAGGAAGAACACTCTTCCAACTATTTCATAAATGTATACATTGGTCACAAGATGACCAGTTCTATTCTTATCCATTATCTGATTAGGTCATTGCCACAACTGTCAGGGGTAGGCATTTTATGGAGATAAGGCATTGTGGGCTTTGAAAAGCTAAGTGAGCCTGGTTAAGGCATCTCAGATGTTAAGGGGTAGCTGAGATTCTAACTCAGGTCTTCTGACTCCTAATTATGAATGAGTTTCTTCTATTCTACCATGTTGATACAGCCAAACAACACAACTTCACCAGAAAAATAATTTCAGTTTCTTCATTCTGCAGAAAATTCACACCTACTGTTATGTACTAATTTCTGTTATTAGGAAGTATTACAATTTGGAGTTTGGGCAAATTGGACATAGATATCTACAGACTAAAGTTGTCAACCAAAACTATCTTAGTATATTTAGTTTGCTATTCAGAATTAAGACTGATAAAAATTACTTATCATATCTCTCCCAATACTTTGGCAAAACAAGCATCTGAAAAAAGGGCCAAAAGTTAAGAGATATCAAATAAAAGTATTTTAAAAGAAATAGTATTGCACTACTATGTATTTTTAATAGGTCCCCAAATTGGTAATCATCTGTTTAGGTATTGCATTGCTTTTTGGCTAGCAAAAAGACAGAAACTCAACAAGACGGGAATATAAAATCTTAGAATATCTGTGACAATGTTAAAACTTAAGAAATTAAACAAAGACTAAGATGATTCTCTATTCTGAATCAAATTTCAAAAGAAAAAAATTTAAATAGCCCTTTATGAGGTTTTCATAATATGTAGCAGATATGGGAAAACTATGGCCAAAGATAAAATAATTCTCAAAATGAATATACCACACTCAAAATTTTAGAAAAACAGAGTATGTCAAACAAACATAAAAAATTGCTATTATATGAGGCAATTATGAGCATCATATAAACTACTTAAGAGACTCTAATTCTATAGTAAAAATAAATAATAAAACATAAACAATATTATAAATGTACATAACTCCAGGCCAAATTATCTTCAGAAGATTTCAAAGCAGCCTATACCATGAAATAACAGTAATAACACATTTGCAAAATCGGTATCAAATTTTCAATTTTCTCATCCCATAAACATTCTCCCAGAATCTCTGTTAAACTTAGTGAACTCGAGGTTCAACATAGATTTTAAAATATAATATGCATGTGAACCATCCAGATGCCCCTTCAAGGAGAATGTGCTGCTCAGCTAGAGAGTGCAGTTAGCAAACAGACTCCATCTGTTTATCACTTCAGAGCTGGCCTCAGGTGCAAAGTGCTGCTTCATCCTAGGTCATACCTTTCCACTGCTGACCCTCATTCAGTGATTAAGTCAAGTGGTAATATGAAGGCCCAGCCATTTCAGCCTGATGCAGGACAACCCCGATAGGCAATATTTGCTCCAGAGCTTGCTGCCAGGTTGGTTGAGGTTTTGCCAGGTCTCCATGTAAATTCAACTTTTCCCTCTGACCAATCCTGTTCTCCTTCCTTTCGCAAGTCCTGATCTCTAAAAATATTTTATACCCCAAATTCTGTCTCAGCATCTGCTTCCAAAAAATCTAAGCTATAACAATGTCCTTTTCTAACGGTTTTCTGAATATTAAGCAAAAAAAATTGTGATGTTAAGAGACCAGATGTATCCAGAATATATAAAGAACTCTTGCAACTCAATAATAAAAAAATTTTAAAGTGGGCAGATTATATAAGTATACATTTCTTCAAATATACAAATGGCCAAAAAGCACATAAAAGATGCTCAATATCATTAGTCATTATAAAAATGCAAATCAAAACCACATGAGATACCTAATGCACAATAACTAGCATGGCTATAATCAAAAAGGAATATAAATCAAGGTTTGTGACAATGAGAAGAAACTGGATACCTGATATATTGCTAGTGTGACAACAATTGCTGGTATGATGCAGCCACTTTAGAAAACAGTTGAGCAGTTCCTCAAAATATTACACACAGAGTTACCATATGACCCAGCAATTCTACTTCTGGGTATATACCCAAGAGAAATGAAAATACATGTCCCCACCAAAACTTATGCACAAATGTTCGCAGAAGCATTATTCATAATTGCCAACAAGTTGAAACAACCTGACTGTCAACTGATGAATGGATAAACAAAATATGGTATATCCATACAATAGGATATTATTCTTTAATAGAAAGGAATGAAGTACCGATACTTGCTATGACATAAATGAAAATATTATGTGCTAATTACAATTACAAAATGAAGCCAATTACCAAAAAAAACCACACATATTGTACGATTCCATTTATATGAAATGTCCAGAACAGGTAAATCCATAGAAATAGGAAGTTGACTAATAGTTTTCAGGAGTCGGGGGAAGAGAAAAATGGGGTGTGACTGTTAATAGGTATGTAGTTTCTTTTTGAGGTGATGATTCCAATGGTTCAAAGACATACACTTGCATTGGGGTAGTGTCTCTATGTATTAAATGGTTCTCTCTCCAACTCTTTTCTACAGCTCTAATGCCAAAGGTCAAGGCAGTCTCAAAAAAAAAAAATCTTGACTGTCTCACTAACCACTCACCTTTCCCTTTACGTTCTATAAAACAGAAGCAAGAAGTAGACTTCAGGCAGACTCATTTAAAGAACTTCTCTCTTGTAATGTCCTAATCACCCCTCTCTCCAGAGCCAGGCTAGCAATTGTCTAGGCATACTCTAGCTAGATATTAAGAACAAACATATTATTTTCTAGGTATAAAAGAGGAGCATTATATAAAGATTTTGTAAATCACAGTGCACTGGTCTAGCTTGTTCTAGTTCTCTGCATTGGCAGTTCTCTGTCAATGGTAATTTGCCTCCCTTGCCCATTAGTATCCCTCGCATACAAATTCCAATGAAAACCTGGTAGAAGCACTAATTCACTTTGGTCATGATTCAGTTAATCCCCTAAGCACATACCACCTAAAAGCATCCCAATCCCACCCAATTTCTAACAAGAATTGAAATTTGGTAATAACTTTATTGTTATTATTTTGATCATTATCATAATTGATCCCAGACATTGTACCAAATTACTTCGAAGTTAGAAATGTACCATTTGCTACAGAAAAGAAAAATGAAGACAAACTTGAGCATATAATCAAGCAGCTGATTAAGCCTAGTAAGCCATATGAATGACACCAACAATAAAGTTTAATGGCACATTTAAGTTTTGTGCAGATCATAATTGTACTGCAAACAAGGCATTTAAGTACCACTCAAATCCAGTATCTACTGACAGTGCACTCCTTACTATTTATTCAAGGGGAAAATTTCAGTGAAGTCTGATTTTACCTAAATGTGTTAACAAGTGGGAATGTAATTTAAGTGCCTTCAGAATAGATTTTTTTTTTTTGGCTTCTAGAATTTCCCAATTCTTTATGAAGTGATAATACTTTATAGCATTTCATGTTTGTATATTTAAATAATCCTCACATGCTGAGACCAGCAGGAGGATAAACTCAGAGAAGGCTTCATATTGCTGTGATACTACAAATATCTGATCTTAAAAAAAGAGAATTAGAAATTTGAAACTTCAAGTCACATTTTTAAACTACCATATAAGTTACAGTGGTTATTTACTTTATCCAGAAAACAAAACACATAATACATATCTTACCTAAATTAACAAAGGACTTGAAGCAGGAAAATTCTTCTGTTCCAAAACCAATCAAAGCTCCGAATCCTCCTGCTTTCTACAAAATATTTTTTTCCCACAAAAGACCACCATCGCTTAGCCATACTGCTAGTTACAGGAAATAAACTCTGTGACACTGAAGTTGCCAACACAAGGACACTTTGCTGAATGTTAGCCATTTATATTATTAGACCTATGCTTAAACACAGTATGCCAAATGGCTCTCATTAGTATTTTCTACATAAGCACAAAATGATAAAGTCCCTTCCTATGATCATAAGAGTCAAGAATTTTACAAGTAGACTTCTCCTTCCAACATTACAGCCAAGTCCCCCAAGGAATCCTCCTATGTAGTAAACCCTAGGAAGCACAATACAAAACATTAGAATATCTATAAATTCCACTCACGAATATAAAGAAAGAAAACCATAATAACTTCAATATCTACAGAAAAGCATTTGATAAAATTCAAAACCTATTTTTGGAAAAAAAGTCATAGAAAACTAGGAATCAAAGGAAACGTCTGTAAGCTGACAAAAAGGTTAAAAAAACAAGCAAACAAAAATAACCACTTACAACAAAATTACTCTTAATGATGAAATATTTGTAAAAGTCTCTTCAAAATCAAGAACCAGAAAAGAATGCCCATCATTACCACTTTACTATTACCACTTCTATTCAAAGTTTGTTTGACATTCTATCCAATGCAGTAGGACACTGAAAATAAATAAAAACACAGTAACAATTTTAAAAAGGAAATCAAAGTTATCATTATTTTCAAATGATATAACTATCTAAAACAACAAAAAGAATCAAAAAACAAGGTCCTCTAAAAAAAAAAAAACAAGAATCTCTGTATCATTAGGAATAAAAAGAGAATTCAACAAGATGGCTTGCTCTAAGATTTATATTTTTTAAAAAAATTGTATTTACAAATACTAGCAACAATCAGTTATAAAGCACAGTTTTTTAATACATCATTAATAATAGCAAAAATTGGCCAGGCACAGTGGCTCACGCCTGTAATCCCAGCACTTTGGGAAGCCAAGGCAGGTGGATCCACCTGAGGTCGGGAGTTCAAGACCAGCCTGGTCAATACGGTGAAACCCCATCTCTACTGAGTATACAAAAATTAGCCGGGCATGGTGGCAGGCACCTGTAATCCCAGCTACTTGGCAAGCTGATGCAGGAGAATCACTTGAACCCAAGAGGCAGAGGTCGCAGGGAGCACAGATTGCACTACTGCGCTCCAATCTGGGCAACAGGAGCAAAACTTCATCTCAAAAAAAAAAAAAAAAAAAGAAAAGAAAATAGCAAAAATTAAAAACTTACATGATTAAAATAAATCCAACAAAAGATGTTATACCTATATTCAGAAAATGATAAAATGCTACTGAAATACATTAAAGAAGACTGAAATACAAAAAATATACTGTATCTATGAATAGAAAGACTCACCAGTGTGACAATATCAATTTCCCTCTACTTTATATGTAGATCTAAGGGAATTCTACTCAAACCCCAAAATGTTTTTCACAGAACTTGAAAAACTAATTCAAAAAGTTACATGGAAAGAGAATCGCCAAGAACTGATAAGACACTCCTAAAGAATGTGATAGGAAGAATTGCCTTGCCAGGTTTCACAGTAATTAAGAAAGCATGCCATTAATACTAGAATAAACAAATTGACAAATAGAACAGGATGGAACTCCAAAACAGAGCCACATAACAGATCCATATGACACAGATGACACCATCATATCACTGGGGAAAACAGGGATTTTTTTAACAATTGGAAAAAACTGGTTAACTGCACAATTTTAAAAAAAGAAAAAGAAATAAATTAGATACCTATCTCACTTCATACATGATCAATTTCAAATGGTTTAAGGGTACAAATGTGAAACTCAAACTTTAAACCTCTTAGGGAAAAATACAGGAGACTACTACTTTGATGTTGGGGCAAGGAATACAACCACAATGAAATATTTACACTTATTAGAAAAAATTAAGAAGTCCGACAATACCAAAAGTTAAAAAGAATGCAGAATAATACAGATTCTTATTCATGTTTCTGGTCAAAAGATAAATTAAACTACTCTGGAAAAAACTAGCATGAGATATCCAAGTTATCCAGCAATCTCACACCTTGGTCCACTACCTGATCTTATACATGTACACCAGGGGACAGACATAAAAATGTTCACGAAATGTTTCCATCATCAAAACAGTCAGTTTATTCATTATCTGTAACTACATAACAAATTACCTCAAAACACAGTGTCACAAAGCAACAATAAATATTTGTAAAATCCCAGTTTCTGTAGATCAGAAATTTAGGAGCAGCTCAGCTGGGAAGTTCTCAATCAAGTTCATGAGATTGCAGTCAGAATATTGGCAAGTTCTGCAATCATCTGAAGGTTTGACTGGGGACAGAGGATTCACTTCCAAGATGGCTCACTCACATAAATAAATGATTGGTACTGATTGTTGTTACGGGCCTCCCATACTCAAACAGATCTGTGCAGAAGCCCATGTGGGAGGGCTTTCTCAAGAAAGATAGATCCAGTAAAGCAAGCGGAAAGCTGAAGAAGTCTCACCATCATTTCCTTGACATCCTACTGGCAGAAGGCAGCCCTACTCAATGTGGTAGAAGTTTATACAAAGGCATGAATATCAAGAAGCAAAGATCACTGGGGACCATCTTAGAATTTGGCTACAACAAATGGAAAAAAAACTGTTCTCCAATTATAGGAGAGCAAATATACTGTAGTACATTAACAGGGCAAAGATGAGTATTACACAGTGGTAAAAATGAATGAAGCACAACTACACTCAAAAACGTAGATGAATTTTCCAAAAATACTAGCGAGGAAACCAAATCTTAGAACACTACATACAGAACAATATCATTTATATTGAGCTAAACTAAAACAAATTATTAGTATCACAAATTGTGATAAAACCGTAAGAAAAATCAAGAGAAAAAATAAATGCAAAATTCAATAGTTATTACCACTGGGAAAGAACAGAAGGCATGAGATGGGAAGAAGCACATAAGTCAATGCAAGTTATTGATAGTGTTTTGAATCTTGGATTCAGGGGTAAATTTATAGGTGTTAATTATATTATACTATATAACTTGCATAAGCATTACAGATATGGAGGCCACTTTTATATCAGTATATCACATACATATAATCAACAATAACCTTGGTTGCACACAATCTTTTTTATCAACAATATGTTCTTTAAATAAGTGACAAAAATATTAACAAAAGAAATACAGTCACACAACACATAACAACATTTTGGTTAATGACAGAATGCATATTAAGACAGTGGCCCCATAGGATTATAAGGAAGCTGAAAAATTCCTACCACCTAGTGACATCATAGCTGGCATAACATCATGATACAACACATTACTCATGTGTTTGTGGTGATGCTGGTATAAACAAACATACTGCACTGCCAGTCATATCAAAGTTTAGCATATACAAATACATATAGTACGTAAATACTTGATAAAGATAATAAACGACTAGGTGACTATGTGTTTGGTTTTTGTTTTTTTGACATGTAGTTTTGCTCCTGATGCCCAGGCTGGAGTGCAATGGCACGATCTCAGCTCACTGCAACCTCTGCCTCCTGGATTCAAGCGATTCTCCTGCCTCAGACTCCCGAGTAGCTGAGATTACAGGTGCCCGCCACCACGCCTGGCTAATATTTGTATTTTTAGTAGAGACGGGGTTTCACCACAGTGGCCAGGCTGGTCTTGAACTCCTGACCTCTGGTGATCCACAAGCCTCAGCCTCCCAAAGTGCTGGGATTACAGGAGTGAGCCACTGACCCCTGCTGGTGACTATGTTTTTACTACACAATACTTTTCACGTAAAGTGTACTGCTTATTTAAAAAATAAAAAAGTTAACTGTAAAACAGCCTCTGGCAGGTCCTTCACAAAGTATTCCAGAAGAAGGCATTGTTATCATAGGAAATAGCAGCTCCATATGCGTTGCTGGCCTGAAGATCTTCCAGCGGGACAAGATGTAGAAGTAGAAGACAGTGTTATTGATGATCCTGACCCTGGGTAGGCCTGGGCTAATACGTATGTTTGTGTCTTCATTTTTGGCAAAAATGTTTTAAAAATAAACTTTGAAAATAGAAAAAAGCTTACAAAATAAGGATATAAAGAAAGAAAATACTTTTGTACAGCTGAACAATATGTGTTTTAAGCTAAGTATTATTACAAAAAAGTCAAAAAGTTGATGTGGCATGGTGACGCGCTTTGTAATCCCACCTACTCGGGGGGCTAAGGCAGGAGGATGGCTTGAGCCCAAGAGTTTGAATCTGCAGTGAGCTATGATCACCCACTGCACTCCACCTGGGCAGCAGAATAAAATCCCATCTCTTAAAAAAAAATTAATTTTAAAATTTATAAAAGTAAGAAAGTTACAGTAAGCTAGTTTATTATTGAATAAAACTAGTTGTATATATTTCATGTAGCCTAAGTGTACTGTAAAGTAAAAAAGTTACAGTAAGCTAGTTTATTATTGAATAAAACTAGTTGTATATATTTTGTGTAGCCTAAGTGTACAGTGTTTATAAAGTCTACAGTAGTATACAGTAATGTCCTAGGCCTTCACATTCACTCACCACTCACTTACTCACTCAGAGCAACTTCCAGGCCTGCAAGCTCCATTAAGTGGTCTATAAAGGTGTTCCTTTTTTAAAAATATTTCATGCTATATTTTTACTGTACCTTTTCTATGTTTATATACGTTTAAATAAACAAATTCCACTGTGTTACCATTGCCTATGGTATTCAGCATAGTAACATGTCATATAGGTTTGGAGCCTTGGAGCAATATATACCATATGTAGCCCAGGTGTGTAACAGACTATAACATCTAGGTGTGTGTAAGTACACTCTATGCTGTTCGCACAACAATGAAATCACCTAACAACACATTTCTCAGAAAATATCCCCAACATTAAGTGACTCATGACCATACTACAATTTTAGTGGCATTGCCTTTTATAATTTGTTCTTTGGGACATATTTCTTAGGGATAATGCTGACAGTGCCGTTCCATCTATTTAGTGAGAAAGTTGGAGGTTCTGCTGATGAGTAAAACTGATAGAAGCAGTTATTCTAAAAAAGGATAAACAGGTACTGAGTAAACCTCAGAGCAGCTATATATCAATAACATATTGTTACTAAAACCCAATTGATTCCTTGCCTGTTTTCAAACGGAACTAGTATTTTGAGTAAAAATTTATTACCTCAGAAACTTTTACATCCGCTATTACAAAAGACAAACTATAAATATTGTTTAAAACTTGACTTAAAAAATAATAATGCCCTACATCTTATAATAAAATATTTTAAAATGCAACTATTGGGCCAGGCACAGTGGCTGACACCTATAACCCCAGCACCTTGGGAGGCCAAGGCGGGAGGATTGCTTGAGGCCAGGAGTTCAAGACCAGCCCTGGCAACATAGCAAGACGGTATCTCTACAAAAAATTTAAAAATTAGCCAGATGCATTGGCATGTGCTTGTAGTCCCAGCTACTTGGGAGGGTGAGGCAGCAGATATCAGGAGTTTGACGTTACACTGAGCCATGATCATGCCACTGTGCTCCAGCCTGGGCAACAGAGCAAGACCCTGTCTCAAAAAAGTAATAAAATGTAAAATAAAATAAAAGTAAGCCCTTTTGAAAATCTCAAGTGTCATTTAAGCACTTTTCTTTGGCATATTTCCACTAGTAAGTATAATAAGTAAAATCAGCCTTTGAAGATGTATAAGAAATTAAATTTTTTAAAATGCTGGGCTAAGGGGCAGTTATAAGCACCTTGCAAACGAAAAATGAAGGCTGAGAATTCAATTCAGAATAATCTGTCCCTTTGGTTGCTAAAGGATGGGTTCATTTAATTATAAAAGAAAGTTTCCCACAGACGGTTATCTCTCAGTCCTTCAACATGATGTAAAAATGGACTTCAATTCCGAGAAAAAATAATGATTTTCCTTGTTTTTCCAAAATAAGGTGAAAAAGGAAAATGCTGTAACAGCAGCCACTGGAGGGAGGACTTGATGTTAGAATAAGAATAAAACAAGCATAAAACATTTATTTGGTGCTTTGTCTGAACCAAACATTTTGTTAAACTCATTTCTATTTGTTTAAGTGACAAATGCTGAAAATACTGCTTTTTCTGCATGAGAGTTAAACTTCCTTTCACTGAAAAACAGATGTTGTTTCAAGTGTCCTTTATTGGTACACAAATCAGCAGTGAGAAAATTATAAAGCTGCCTGGACTGACAAAGAACTAGCACTATCGCTTAGTCTAAGAATATATTTAAAGGCCTATGCTTAACTTTAAATGTCTTTATTTTTGTTCCTTTGAAATATTATCCACTCAGTTTGCTAGAAGACCGCAGGTACTATTTTGTCTTTAAATAAATACCTGAAATCTGGATATCGATAAATTCGGACAGCTTTTTAAAAACCTGTGGCATAGCTCTCGATGTGGTTAAGGGGTTTTGTTTTTACTAAAAATACTCATATATTTTAATAACTATTGGTTTAAAACCGTTTATACACACACACACACACACACACACACACACACACACACACACACACACTGCAGAGGGATCCCAGAGTAAGCTGTAAGCCTCCAGTGCTTACCTTTTGCAGATAACTAAGTATACAAACATATTCTAATAAAGCAAGTTTAAACGAAGATTCCAAACACAAAATCACAGAACTGAAAGGGAATAGAAAGGAGCTCTTTCACAATTCTGGTTTCTATTGTAATGGTAGTTATATACTATACAATAGATGCCAGGCTTCTGGAAAGTTCTGAAATAATTCCAAACATAGCAAAATCCATTCTTTCCCTTTCAAAACGACTATTTACACAATCATTATTTTGGAGCTGACTTCTTAAACTCAAGAATCTTACTATGATTTAATCAATGAACCAACAAAACTTTCAGTCAGTTCTGAATAAGAGCAATCCAGAAAAAAAAGCAAGAACTAAAATATAAAAACTCTGGAATAAATATTCATCTGACAAGATATTCAATTGAATAAGGAAATCAATCTCAGAAAATGAATTCTTAAAAATGAATCAATATTGATTCTTCCTATCTATGAGCATGGAATGTTTTTCCATTTGTTTGTGTCCTCTCTTATTTCCTTGAGCAGTGGTTTGTAGTTCTCCTTGAAGAAGTCCTTCACATCCCTTGTAAGTTGTATTCCTAGGTATTTTATTCTCTTTGTAGCAATTGTGAATGGGAATTCACTATGATTTGGCTCTCTGTTTGTCTATTATTGGTATATAAGAATGCTTGTGATTTCTGCACATTGATTTTGTATCCTGAGAATTTGTTGAAGTTGCTTATCAGCTTAAGGAGATTTTGGGATGAGATGATGGGGTTTTCTAAATATATAATCATGTCATCTGCAAACAGATACAATTTGACTTCCTCTCTTGCTATTTGAATACCCTTTATTTATTTTTCTTTTCTGATTGCCCTGGCTACAATTTCCAACACTATGTTGAATAGGAGTGGTGAGAGAGGGCATCCTTGTCTTGTGCCAGTTTTCAAAGGGAATGTTTCCAGCTTTTGCCCATTCAGTATGATATTGGCTGTGGGTCTGTCATAAATAACTCTTATTATTTTGAGATACATTCCATCAATACCTAGTTTATTGAGAGTTTTTAGCATGAAGCAGTGTTTAATTTTATCGAAGGCCTTTTCTGCATCTATTGAGATAACATGTGGTTTTTGTCATTGGTTCTGTGTATGTGATGGATTACATTTATTGATTTGTGTATGTTGAACCAGCCTTGCATCCCATATCATCACTAAAATTATCATCACTAAATTGCCTAGTAATTTTCCAATTCAGCAACAATTTATTTTCCATGTAAAGAAGGCGCTTCCTTTGGATTTATCAAAATAGGAATGCTTTAACAGTCTTTGAATTAAAAAAAACATAGTGAGAAATTAGCTTATGTAATTCAGTTCATTATTAAGGGTTGACCTGACTGAAGTCTTTCTTCATTTCAAGAGAGAAAGAGAAAGGAAGTGGACGCGCAAGACAGAAACTTTATATTGTAATTAAAATAATTAAAAACACAAACACATATGCTTGTTTTGATAAAAATAATTATACATGTTTCTTGTTGAGGAAATATATCCAGAATAAATAAGGTTGTTTTAAATAGTTTGTTTTCAATTATGAAACTGAAATGTCTAAGTTCTTAGCAGTTATTGCAGTATTCCTAATACAAATAAAACTTCACCATTACAATCACTCACTGTTTCAAAATAATGAGTTATTACCTATAAATAATATTCTAGTCACAACCACCTGTCAAATACTTAGCACAAATGGATTTAACATATTGGCCACCTTGAAGAAAGTAGTTAAAGACCATCAAAGAACAGGATACAGATCATTAATGCTTCAAGGCCAGAGAGAAGAGGCTCAAATGGCCTCCAGTGAAATCAACTTTGTTCATAAGCAGTGAAGTCCTGTAAGTCATAGCTTATACTGAATGAAGAGTGGAAACTGAAGCAAACTGGAAAACATATGGCTCATCTCAAGGGAGTTCCGACTTGCCACACTGTTCCCATATAGAATGGAGCCACAGTGTGACTGGAACTTCGTATTTTTCAGGAGAAATCAAAAGCCCAATTTTTACTTAAATTAGATGGAAACTAATTTTTAAAAATTTAAGATTGTGGACGCTCACTTAGTTTGGGGGTCTCCAATTTGTAAAGTCTACTCTATGTAACATTATAGAGAGTATAATTGACTGATATTCTCCTATACAGCTTAGCAACATCTAGGCCAAAAACAGACATACCATTAATAAAAATATGACTCCAATGATCCAAGAAAATAGTAAACCTTCAGAAAGTAGACTCGGGTCAAAAATACTTTCCAAAACCAAGCTTTCATGATTATCTCCACTTTGCAACAGTTGAACTATGACTTTCTTATACTGGCACAAGTACTGACACCTCTCCAAAGCACTTAGCATTACAAAAATAATAGGCAGGGTGCAGTGGCTCACACCTGTAATCCCAGCATTTTGGGAGGTTGAAGCAGGAGGATCGTTTGACCAGCCTGGCCAACAAAACAAAACCTTGTCTTTCCAAAAAAAAAAAAAAATACAAAAAATTAGCCAGGTGTGGTGGCACATGCCTGTGGTCCCAACTACTCAGGAGTCTGAGGTGGTAGGATTGCTTGAGCCTGAGAGGTCAAGGCTACGGTGAGCTATGATAAAACTTCTAAATATGATATTTCCCTCTGCTCTTAGGTCTTTACCATCTATGTACATATCCTTGTGCTTGAAATTTCTTCATTTAAAAATCATGATGTATCTTCCTGTGCCACAGCAAAGTTTGGATAGCATGGTTCCTGATATATCATGACTATCTAGGACTAACTCTAATGTCACTACTTGTAATTATGTTCCTTGCCAACACATAACTCCAAGTCTTATTTTTGTGTCTTTCATTTTTCTGTTATACATTTTCTTGAAATCTTATCTGTAAATTTCTATAATGTTATTCCATTTCAGTTCTGTAAGTAAAAAACTTAATTAAATGCTTATAATTCAAATATTATACTTAGTTCCTCAAATATGGATTCTGTCCTAGATTTTTCTATTTTCAACTAAAAAGATGTCTACCAAAATGCTTTCACCATGCCTAGAAAACAGTAGGAACATATATACACACATAATTATGGATGAATATATATCTAATAGTTTAAGTTCTATTAGATGCTCCTTTGCTTTTTATACCTAATTGAAACATCCTTTAACTCTACAGCCCTACAAATACCTCAATGTAGCAGGTTATGGGTAAATTCATTGTTTAAAATGTTCTAAAGGACACAGCTCTTTAAATCTGTGATAAATCTTATTAGAAGGTAAATATTTTCAATTGAACTCTTTTCTAAATATAGGGGGAAAACCTGTATTGCATCTTCTTAAAACATGAACACAGGTATATTATTTTTCTATAACCTTTCATTTCATCTTTCCTTCTACTTTTATATACCTGTGTTGTTTGCTCAGTCATTTAAGATATATAATCTAAAAGTCTTCATTGAGGTCCTTCTGATACATTTCTTCAAGTTTTTAAAAAATTTCAGATGACTCAACTTTAAAAGTAATATATAGGAAACCGTGCTCTACTAGATCACAAATAATCTAACTGCTGATTAACAACAACAAAAAAGACTAGCTATCAATTAGTACATTAATCTGCTTGAGCGGCCATACAAAATACCATACACAGGGTGGGTTAAACAACAGAAATTTGTTTTCTTACAGTCTGGAGGCTAGAAGTTCCAGAAAAAGATATAAAAGGACCAGTTTCTGGTGAAGGCTCTCTTTCTGCCTTTCAGAAGACTGCATTCTTACTGGAGAAAGGGAGAGCTCTCTGGTGTCTCTTCTGATAAGGACACTAATCCTAGTGGATCAGGGTCCCACCTTTATGACCTCATTTAACCTTAATGACTTCCTTACTCCAAATACAGTTACACTGTAGGTTATGGCTTCAACATACAAATTTTGGGGAAATTCAATTCAGTCAATAGCATTCTGCCACTGGCCTCCTCAAAATTCATGTCCTTATCACATGCAAAATGCATTCATTACATCCCAACAGCCCCAAAATTCTTAACTGATTCCATCATCAACTCTAATGCCTAATGTTCAAAGTTTCATCTAAATATCATCTAAATTAGGTATGGGTAAGAACGAGGTATGATTCACCCTACAGCAAAATTCCTCTCCAGCTGTAAACCTGTGAAACCTGACAAGTTATGTATTTCCAAAATACAACGGTGGGACAGGCAAACAATAGACATTCCCATTCCAAAAGGGAGACTTAGAAAGATATTAGAAAGAAGGAAGAAAAGGGTGATGCCCCAAACCAGTGCCAAACTTAGAAAGGCAAATTCCACTCCATCATTAAGGTTCAAGAATAATCTCCTTTGGTTTGACACTCTGTTCTCCAGGCCCTCTCTATTTTCCAGTTCCAAAGCCACATGTACATTTTAAGGTATTTGGTAGAGCAACATCCCAATTCATGGTATTACAATTTGTATTAGTCTAGTCAGGCTGCCATAACAAAACTGCATAGACTGGGTTGCTTAAACAAGATAAATTTATTTTCTCACAGCTCTTGAGGCTAGAAGTCCTACATCAAGGTCCAGCAGGGTTGGTTGGTTTCTGATAAGCGCTCTTTTCCTGGTTTGCAGATTTTTGCTTTCTCACCATGTCCTTACATGGTAAAGAGAAAGTGACCAGGAGAATGGCCTCTCTGGTGTCTCTTCTTACGAAGACACTAATCCTATGGGACCAAGGTCCCATCCTATGACCTCATTTAACCTTAATTACTTGCTTACTCCAAATGCAATCATATTGGGGTTAGGGTTTCAACATACAAATTGGAGGGACATAATTCAGTCAATAGCAATTAGAAAGGAAAGTATCAGGGGACTGTAATATGTTTAGGGACATTCGTATTATAATAGTCTTGATATTTTCCCCAATATCCTCTCATCTTAGAAGATGCATTACTTCAACAATGTGGTATGTTTATCCCTGCTTTCAAATAGAAAAGCCAATTTTGTCCCAAATTAGAGAAAGAAAGAAGCAGAGAAAGATGATGCAAAGGGTTTTTTGCACCTAGAGAGACAGACAGAACAGTCCACAAAAGAAACTACCCCACTTCTCACACCATTGTAAGTTCAGAGGATTCCCAAAACCATTCTCAGTTTCCATAATTTGCTGGAAAGACTCACAGAACTCACTGAAAGCTATTATATTCCCAGTTACAGTTTATTACAGGGAAAGGATATAGATTAACAGGAGCAAAGAAAAGGTGCACATAAGACAGAGACTAGGAGGGTACCAAACATGGAACTGCCATTGTCCTCTCCCCATGACGTCATGATCACGTCATTCTCCTGCTTTCTGTTTAACAATACACACAGAGTATGGCCAACTAGGAAGGCTCACAGAAGACAGAGTGTTCAGAGTTTTTCTTGGGACTCTGTTACTTAGGCATGAATGACTAATTGACTGCCCACATGGTTGAGGTCAGCCTCCAGGTTAACTGATATCACTTGACCAAAAGCCCCACCCTAAGTCACATAGTTAGTATTTCTGGCATGGGCAGCCCCCACCCAAAGACTGTAATAGACACAGCCAGCCCTGATCCTCAATCATACCATTAGTGTGGCCCAAGGCATTATCATCCGTAAAGTGAGGGCAAAGGCCAGACTTCTGTTTGGGCAAGATTATGTTTTTTACTAAATCGAGATAAGAGTAACCATTCAATAGTTCCTACTGCTTACAGAGGCAAGTCCAAGCTCCTCAGCAAACTATACAAGCCTTCTCTGCCCACCGCTTATGCACACACAGATAGCCATGACATGGCTCCTATTTCCTTCTTCAACTCCATCTCTCACTACAATCAAATTTTTTCCTCTACTAATTGCAAATTCCTTTTAGTTTTTACAAACATTAGACTGCTAATAGCTATTTCTTCTATCTAGAATGTCTTTCTGCTTTATTTTAAATGATCCATCCTTAAGTTCTCAACTTAGGGATAATTTTCTCCAACTCCAGGAAAAGCTTTACAACACTCCCATAGTATCCTATACATACTTCCATCTATCATAATACAAAACATTATACTAAAGTCTTACCTTCGTAGTAGACACCCAACCAGAAGGTTAATATCCTCAAATATGAAGTCTAGATTGCCTTATCACTAGGTATACATCTATTACTGATTCGAATAACTGAGAATCTGTTTTTTTTCCCTTATCTAGACCTTAGGCCTTTCCCTGCTCATTTATCTCTCCCGCTCTCCATCTCTTCTGAGACCAGAGTCTTATCCCCGTTCAGCCAATCCCTACTGAAAGAAATCCTTTCTTTTCTATCCCAACATCCTCTACCAGCCTGATCTGACCTTTCTTCCCATCAATTCTCAGATATGACCATTTAATCAAAGTATTCCAATTACAGCAGAGTGTATTAAACCAAATGGATCAAGATTATTAACAAAATTCCAAACTACTTAATTCCAGAGTCATTTCCATAGTACAGGCAAAAATGATGATATCAAGAAGAATGGGTAATTCAAATCAAGAGAGCATCTAATCTAACCATCAATCTTTTCACATTTTTTACTTGCCTCATCTTAGATTATACTCTTGGTCACAATTGTAGCTTGCTCCACATTTTATACAAGCACATAAAACTAAGCTATGCTTTGTAGAGGAAAGGGGTATCACTTGTATGCCTTCATTAACTTGGATATTTACTCTGAACTGTTCTTTTTTAATACAAATAGTGTGTCTCCTGAGCTACAAGTATCTTTTCTACTGTTTTCTTATACTTGATTACATATGATGGCAATAAGATTGGCAGGGAATAGGAATACTAGCTATATCCCAAGTAGCTAGTAGTTACACTGGTGGTTATAATCATCCCTATAAAGAGCCATTAAAGGGCCTTACAAGGGCCCAAATCCACAGTCTTAGTCTTGTTAGCACCTCTTTAACTTCTAAGCAAAGCAAAGCTTGGTCCATTATCAATCTAGACGATGATTAAATAAATATACAGAGAAAGAAGAGCCACGATGGCCAGCTAAAAGGAGGGAGGAAGAGCTTCTCCCATCGAGAGAACAGACCATCAAGATCACCAGTAAACTTCAAGCAAATCTTTGGGAGGAAGGCATTGAGAGTGAACAGAGAAAGGACGCAGACCCTGGGCTGAAGGAGGAGGAAGCTGGGAACTCAACACAGGGTTACTGAGCACCAGGATTCATTTCTGGCCTTGAGTGGCTCCCAGAGAAGGAGTGAGTTAAACAGGCGTGGAATGGCCTACTCTCACCATGGACCTCCAGAATGCTAGCTACAGGAGACTCAATGACCCCCATGGACACTTGAGCTGGCAGGGAGAGCTGCTTGGAGAAGTGGCAGGGACAGGACTCCAGCCTGTGCAGAGCCCAGAGGCTCTGGTGCGGAAACGGCTACAGTGGAGCACAGCCAGGGACGGCTATCCCCCAAAGCTCATCATGCTCCTCTACGCGGCTTTAGCATATACTGACTGTCAGGCCTGGACAGAACAGGGCTAACTTGCCTGGGGGACACAGCCAGTCTGATCTGAGCATTCCCACCCCGTCTGCCAGCCTCTACCAGCCTCTACCAGTCACTGCCTGGCCACATAAGCTTGCAGCATAGTCTCAGATATCCAACAAGGGCACTTTCCAATGGCCACCCCCACAGTTCATCAGCTGGCAGATGTCACCTAACCATCGAAGAACTTCTGCAGATGGGCTCTGATATGGTTTGGCTATGTCCCCACCCAAATCTCATCTTGAATTCCCATGTGTTGTGGAAGGGACCCAGTGGGAGGTAATTGAATCATGGGAGCATGTCTTTCCCATGTTGTTCTCATGATAGTGAATAAGTCTCACAAGATCTGATGGTTTTAAAAATGGGAGTTTCCCCACGCAATCTCTCTCTTTGCCTGCTGCCACCCATGTAAGACATGACTTGCTCCTCCTTGCCTTCCACCATTATTGTGGGGCCTCCCCAGCCACATGTAACTGTAAGACCATTAAACCTCTTTCTTTAGTAAATTGCCCAGTCTCAGGTATGTCTTTATCAGCAGCATGAAAACAGACTAATACAGGCCCCCATCAGCACACACCCGCCCACAGCCTCCCCCAACTGCTTTGCCAGAATGCACATGCCCACAACCTCCCTCCACTGCTTTGACATAAAGCCCTCCCCCCCACCACCCCACCCCACCGCTGGTACACACACACACACACGAACACAGATCCCTCTGCCGCTGGCTTAATGAAGGGATTCTGTCAGCACCCTCCATGAGTGTTGCTACCAGTGAACTGGGAACACCTCAACTCCTCCAGCACAGCAGGTGCTTAACCTCAAGGGGCCAGAGAACAAAGCTGTGAGCCTGGACACAACCCTTCAGGGTTAGAGCATGCAGCCCAGGAGTGCTGAGCTGAACCTTGGTCCCCTGAAATCATCCAGAAATGAAGACAGCTGACTGAAACCAACTTAAAGAACAGTCAAACCCTCAAAGGCATCAAAGAGTATAAAAGCAAAAAGGCCCATCCAAAAGACAGCAACAACAAAGATTAAAGGAACATCAGGCCACAAAGATGAAGAACCCGTGGAAGGACTATGGCAACTCAAAAAGTCAGAGTGTCTCTTGGACCACAGCACAATAAAAATATAAGTCAACACAATGAAAATCGCTCAAAACCATACAAATACATAAAATTAAACAACATGCTCCCAAATGACTTCTGGGTAAATAATCAAATTAAGGCAGAGATCAAGAAGTTCCTTGAAAATAATGAGAACAAAGATAGAACATACCAGAATCACTGGGACATGGCTAAAGCAATGTTAAAATGGAAATTCAAAGCATTAAATGTCCACATCAAAAAACTAGAAACATCCCAAATTAACAACCTAACTTCACAACTGAAAGAATGAGAGAAACAAGAGCAAATCAACCCCAAAGCTAGAAGACAAGCAATAACAAAAATTAGAGCTGAACTGAAGGAAATCAAAACACAAAAAACCATTCAAAAGCTCAACAAACTAAGGAGTTGATTTTTTGAAAAAAATAATAAAATAGGCCACTAGCTAGGCTAATTAAGAAGAAAAAAGAGAAGATCCAAATAAACACAATTAGCAGTTACTAAGGGAATGTTACTACTGACCCCACAGAAACAAAAACAAGCATCAGAAACTACTATGAACACCTCTACGCAAACAAACTAGAAAACCTAGATGTGATGGATATATTCCTGGACACATGTACCCTCCCAAGACGGAGCCAGAAAGACACAGATTCCCTGAACAGACCATTAACGAGCTCCAAAACTGAATCACTAATAAATAGCCTACCAACCAAAAAAAGCCCAGGACCTGATGGAGACACAGCCAAATTCTACCAGATGTACAAAAAAGAGCTGGTACCATTCCTGCAGAAACTATTCCAAAAAATTGAGGAGGAAGGACTTCTCCCCAACTCATTCTATGGGGCCAGCATCACCTTGATCTAAAATCTGACAGAGAAACAGCAAAAAAAGAAAACTTCAGGCCAATATCTTTGATGAACATTGATGCAAAAATCCTCAACAAAATACGTGCAAATCAAATCCAATAGCACATCAAAAAGCTAATCCACCATGATAAAGGAGGCTTCATCCCCAGGATGCAAGGCTGATTCAACATATGAAAATCAATAAATGTGGCTGGGCACGGTGGCTCATGCCTGTAATCCCAGCACTTTGGGAGGTTGAAGTGGGTGGATCACGAGGTCAGGAGATCGAGACCATCTTGGCTAACACGGAGAAACCCCGCCTCTACTAAAAATACAAAAAATTAGCCGGGCATGGTGGTGGGCGCCTGTGGTCCCAGCTACTCGGGATGCTGAGGCAGGAGAATCGCATGAACCCGGGAGGCAGAGCTTGCAGTGAGCCGAGATCGCGCCACTGCACTCTAGTCTTGGCAACAGTGAGATGACTCCGTCTCAAAAAAAAAAAAAAAAAAAAAAAAAAACCGAAAATCAATAAATGTGATTCATCACATAAACAGAACTAAAGACAAAAGCCATATGATAATCTGAATAGGCTTTTGATAAAATTCATCATGCCATCACGTTAAAAATTCTCAATAAACTAGGTATTGAAGGAACATACCTCAAAATAAGAGATATCTATGAGAAACCCGCAGCCAACATTACATGGAATGGGCAAAAGCTGGAAGCATTCCCCTGAAAACCGGCACAAGACAAGGATGCCCTCTCTCACCACATCTATTCAACATAGTATTGGAAGTCCTAGCCAGAGCAATTAGGCAAGAGGAAGAAATAAAGGGCATCCAAATAGGAAGAGAGGAAGTCAAATTACCTATTTGCAGATGACATGATTCTATATCTAGAAAACCCCATGGTCTGAGCCCAAAAGCTCCTTCAGCTGATAAACAACTTCAGCAAAGTTGCAGCATACAAAATCAATGTACAAAAATCACTAGCATTCCTACAGACCGACAACAACCAAACTGAGAGCCAAATCAAAATGGCCATCCCATTCAAAACTGCCACACACACACAAATACCTAGGAATGCAGTTAATCAGGGAGGTGAAAGAGCTCTACAATGAGAGTTACAAAACACTGCTGAAAGAAATCAGAGATGACACGCAAATAAATGGAAAAACATCCCATGCTGGTGGAAAGGAAGAATCAACATCATTAAAATGGCTATACCGCCCAAAGCAATCTATAGATTCAATGCTATTCCTATCAAACTACCAAAGGCATTCTTCACAGAACTAGAAAAAATTATTTTAAAATTTTATGGAACCAAAAAAGAGCTCAAATAGCCAACACAACGCTAAGCAAAAAGAACAAAGCTGGAGGTATCATGTTACCCGACCTCAAACCATACTACAAGGCTACAGGGACCAAAACACCATAGTACGAGTACAAAAACCAGCATATAGACCAATAGAACAGAATACAGAGACCACAAATAAGGCCACACATCTACGACCATCTAATCTTTGACAAAGCTGACAAAAACAAGCCAAGGGGAAAAGACTCCCTATTCAAAAAATGGTGCTGAGATAACTGGCAAGCCATATGCAGAAGACTGAATCTGGACCCCTTCCTTATACCATATACAAGAATAAACTCAAATGGATTACAGATTTAAATGTAAAACCCAAAACTATAAAACCCCTGGAAAACAACCTAGGCAATACCATCCTGGACCTAGGAACGGGCAAAGAATTCCTGACAAAGATACCAAAAGCAATCGCAACAAAAGCAAAAACGGACAAATGGGATCTAATTAAACTTAAGAGCTTCTGCACAGCAAAAGAAACTATCAACAGAGTAAACAGACAACCTACAGAATGGGAAAAAAAATCTGTCTTAATCAGATGCATAGTTGGCAAAAATGGAGATTCAGGAGAAAGTCCAGCATCCACAAGGAACTTAAACAATGTTCTAAGAGAAAAACAAACAACCCTATTAAAAAGTAAACAAAAGACATGAACAGATACTTCTTAAAAGACATACATGTGGCCAAGAAGCATATGAAAAAAAGCTCAATATCACTGATCATTAGAGAAATGCAAATCAAAACCACAATGAGATACCATCTCACACCAGTCAGAATGGCTATTATTAAAAAGTCAAAAAATAACAGATGCCTGCGAAGTTGTGGAGACCCTGATACATTGTCGGTAGGAGTGTAAATCTGTTCTACCATTGTGGAAAGCAGTATAGCGTTTCCTCAAAGAACTAAAAGCAGGGCTACCATTTGACGCTGCAATACCATCACCGGGTATACACTCAGAGGAAGACTATCTACCATAATGACACAAGCACGTGAATGTTCACTGCAGTACTGTTCACAACAGTAAAGATATGGAATCAACCTAAATGCCCATCAATGACAGACTGGATAAAGAAAATGTGGTAAATACACACCATGGAATATTACACAGTCATAAAAAAATGAGATAATGTCTTCTGCGGGAACATGGATGAAGCTGAAGGCTATCATCCTTAGCAAACTAACACAGTAACTGAAAAACAAATACTGACTGCATGTTCTCACTTGTAAGTGGGAGCCAAATGATGAGAACTCATGAACATAAAGAAAGGAACAACAGACACTGGGGTCTACTTAAGAGAGGGAGGTGAGGAGGAGGGCAATTAGCAGAAAAGATGACTATTGGGTACTGAGCTTGATACCTGGGTGATGTAGTAATATGTACAACAAACCCTGTGACACATGTTATCTATGTAGCAAACCTACACACGTATCCCCAAACCTAAAATAATTTTTTAAAAAAAGGAATAACCAGGAAAAAAAAAAGAATACTAAAGCCCTCCCCGTCATAGTGTAAATAATGAATAATTACAAAATGAAACTTTCCTCCTGAAAATTAGCTTTAACTATGTTATATCATAGGAAATAATATTAATAATTCCAAAGTAAAAAAAAAAAAAAAAAGTCAGAGTGTCTTCCTACCTCCAAATGACTGCACCACCTGCCAAAGAATGGTTCTTAACCAGGCTGAAATTATAGACATAGAATTCAGAATCTGGATGGCAAGGAGAATCATCAAGATTCAGGAGAAAGCTGAAACCCAATCCAAGGAATCTAAGGAATCCAATAAAATAATACAAGAACTTAAAGATGAAATAGTCATTTTAAGAAGGAACCAAACTGATCTGATAGAGATGAAAAACTAAAAGAATTTCATAATACAATCAGAAGTGCTGAGAAAAGAATAGACAAAACTGAGGAAAGAATCTCAAAGTTCAAAGACCAATTCTTCGAATGAACTCAATCAGACAAAAATAAAGGCAAACGAATAAAAAGAATGAACAAAATCTCCAAAAAACATGGGATTATGTAAACAGACCAAACATATGACACATTGGCATCCCTGAAAGAGAGAGACATGAGAAAGCAACTTAGAAAACATAATTAAAAATTATGAAAATTTCCCTAACCTCACTGGGGAGGTAGACATTCAAATTCAGAAACTGCAGAGAACCCCTGTAAGATGCTATTCAAGACAACCATGCTGAAGACAAATAGTCTTCAGATTCTCCATGGTCAAAGTGAAAGAAAAAATCTTAAAGGGAGCTAAAAAGAAGGGAGAGGTCACCTACAAAGGGAACCCCATCAGGCTAACAGCTGACCTTTCAGCAGAAACCCTACAAGCCAGAAAAGACTGGGGACCTTTATTCAGCATTCTTAAAGAAAGGAAATTCTAACCAAGAATTTCATATCTAGCCAAACTTTGCTTCATAAGTAAAAGAGAAATAAAATCCTTTTCAGATAAGCAAATACTAAGGGAATTCACTACCACCAGACCTGCCTTATAAGAGGTCCTTACGGAAGCACTAAATATGAAATTGAAAGGCCATTACTGGCCACCACAAAAACAAACACACTTAAGTACACAGACCATTGACACCATAAAGCAACTACAAAATTAAGTCTACATAACAAGCAGATAACAGCATAACAGGATCAAATGTTCACATATCAATACTGACTCTGAATGTAAATGGACTAACTACACCACTTAAGAGACACAGAGTGGCAATTTGAATAAAGAAACATGACCTAACTACATACTATCTTCAACAGACCCCTCTCACATGCAATGACACCCACAGACTCAGAGTAAGGGATAGAGAAAAATCTATCAAGCAAACAGAAAACAAAAAAGAGACAGATTGCTCTTTTAATTTGAGACAAAACAGACTTGAAAGCAACAATAATCAAAAAGGACTAAGAAGGGCATTAAATAATGATAAAGGGTTCAATTCAACATGAAAACTTTAACTACCCTAAATATACATGCATCCAACATTGGAGCACCCAGATTCATAAAATAAGTTCTTAGAGACCTACAAAGAGACTTAGATAACCACACGATAATAGTGGAAGACCTCACCTTGACACCCACTGACAGTACTAGACAGACCATCAAGGCACAAAACTAACAAAGATATTCAGGACCTAAACTTGACATTTGACCAAATGGCCCTAACAGATATCTACAGAACACTGCACTCAACTACAACAGAATATACATTCTTCTTATCTGCACATGACACATACTGTAATATTGACCACACACTCAGCCATAAAGGAATTCTCAACAGATTCAAAAAAAAAAAAAAAAAACTGAAATTATACCACATTCTTAACCACAGTACAAGAATAGATCTCTCAAAATCATATAATTATGTGGAAATTAAACAATCTGTTCCTGAATGACTTTGGGTAAACAATGAAATTAAGACAGAATTCAATAAATTTTTTGAAACTAATGAAAAGGAAGAAATGACATACCAGATTCTCTGAGACAGAGCTAAAGCAGTCTTCAAAGGAAAGTATATAGCACTAAACACCTACATCAAGTAGTTAGAAAGATCTCAAATTAACAACCTAAAATCACACCTAGAGCAACCAAAAAAAAAAAAAGTAAACTAACCCCAAAGCTAGCAGAAGAAAAAACCAAAATCAGAGCTGACTGAACAAAACTAAGACATGAAAAACTATACAAAAGGTCAATGAAACCAAAACGTCGTTCTCTGAAAGAATAAATAAGATTGACAGACCACTAGCTAGACAAATAAAGAAAAAAGGAAAGAAGTCCAAATAAACACAATCAGAAATGACAAAGTGAACATTACAACTGACCCCACAGAAATAAAAAAAAAAAACTCTCAGAGACTATTAGGAACACCTCTACCTACACAAACTAGAAATCTTAGAGAAAAATGGATAAGTTCCTCAAAACATACAACCTCCCAAGATTGAATCAGAAGGAAATTGAAACCCTGAACAGACCAATAGTGAATTTCAAAATTGATCAGTAATAAAAAGCCTACACCCAGAAGAAGTCCTGGAAAAGATAGATTGACAGCCAAATTCCACCCAACATATAAAGAAGAGCTGAAACCAACCCTACTAAACTATTCCAAAAAATGAGAAGGGACTCCTCGTCAAATCATTCTATGAAGCTAGCATCATTCTGATACCATAACTTTGTAGAAACACAACGAAAAAAGAAAACTTTAGACCAATATCCCTGATGAATATAGATGTAAAAATCCTCAACAAACACTAGCACACCAAAACCAGCAGCACATCAAAAACCTAATCTACCATGATCAAAATGGCTTTATTCCTGTTATACAAGGTTGGGTCAACATATGTAAATCAGTAAATGTGATTCAACACATAAACAAACCTAAAAACAAAAACCATATGATCATCTCAATAGGTGCAGAAAAGGCTTTTGATAAAATTTAACATGTGTTAAAAATTTTCAACAAACTAGACATTGAAGGAACATACCTTAAATAAAAAGAGCCAGTTATGACAAATCCACAGCAAACATCATACTAAATAGGCAAAAGCTAGAGACATTTCCCTTGAAAACCGGAACAAGACAAGCATGCCCACTCTCACCACAACTATTCAACATAGTACTGGAAATTTCAGCCAAAGCAATTAGGCAAGAGAAACAAATGAAAGGCATCCAAATTAAAAGGAAGTCATACTATCTCTGTTCACAGATGATATGATTCTACACTTATAAAACCCCATGCTCTCTACCCAATGGTTCCTAGATCTGATAAACAACTTCTGCAAAGTTTCAGGATACTAAATCAATGTCAAAAAAATCAGTAGCATTTCAGCAATAACGTCCAAGCTGAGAGCCAAATCAAGAATGCAATCCCATTCACAATAGCCACAAAAGAAATAAAATACCTAGGCATACAGCTCAACAGGGAGGTGAAAGAGCTCTACGATGAGAATTACAAAATGTTGCTGAAGAAATCGGAAACAACACAAATGGAAAGATATTCCTTACTCATGGATAGGAAGAATCAATATTATTTAAATGGCCATGCTGCTCAAAGTAATTTACAGATTCAATGCTACTCCTATCAAGCTACCAATGACATTTTTCACAGAACTAGAAAAAATATCTAACATTCATATGGAACTGAAAAATAGCCTGAATACCCAAAACCATCCTAAGCAAAAAGAAAAAAGCCAGAGGTATCACACTATCTGACTTCAAACTATACTACCAGGCTACAGTAACCAAAACAGCATGGTACTGGAAAAAAAAAAAAAACAGACACATAAAACAATGGAACAGAATAGAGAACCCAAAAATAAAGCCACACACCTAAAACCATCTGATCTTTAACAAAGTCAACAATAAGTAATGGGAAAAGGACTCCCTATTCAATAAAGAGTGCTGGGATAACTGCCTAGCCATATGCAGAAGATTGAAACTGAACCCTTTCCTTTTACCATACACAAAAATCCATTCAAGATGGATTAAAGACTTACATGTAAAGCCTTAAACTATAAAAACTCTAAAAGAAAATCTAGGCAATACCATTCTGAATCTAGGCCCTGGCAAAGATTTCATATGAAGACTCCAAAAGCAACTGCAACAAAAACAAAAATTGAAAAGAAAGACCTAATTAAACTAAAGAGCCTCTACACAGCAAAAGAAACTATCAACACAGTAAACAGACAACCTACAGAATGGGAGAAAAAAATTCGCAAACTATGCATCCTACAAAGGTCCCATAGCCAGGATCTATAAGGAACTTAAACAAATTAAAAAGCAAAAAAACCCATAAAAAATGGGCAAAGGACATGAACAGACAATTCTCAAAACAAGATATACACATGGACAACAAACATATGAAAAAATGCTCAACATCACTGAGCTTTAGAGAAATGCAAATCAAAACCAAAATAAGAACCATCTCACAACAGTTGGAAGGGCTATTGTTAAAAAGTCAAAAAATAACAGCTGCTGATGAGGTTGTGGAGAAAACTGAATGCTTATACAGTGGTGGGGGGAATGTAAATTTCAGCCACTGTGGAAAGCAGTTTGGAAATTTCTAAAGAACCTAAAACAGAAAGAACTGCCATTCAACTCAGCAATCCCATTCCTGGGTACCTACCCAAAGGAATATAAATCATTCTAATAAAAAGACAACATGTACTCATATGTCCATCGCAGCACTATTCAAAAAAGCAAAGACATGGAATCAACCTACATACCCATCAACAGTGGACTGAACAAAGAAAATGTGGCACATATACACCACGGAACACCACACAGCCATAAAAAAGAATAAAATCATGTCCTTTACAGCAACATGGATGGAGCTTCACATTATCCTATGTGAATCAATGCAGAAAAAAAAAAAAAAAAAAAAAACAAATACCACATGTTCTCACTTATACATGAAAGCTAAACATTAAGTATACATGGAGAAAGAAGGAAACAATACACAATGGGGTCTACTTCAGGGTGGAGGTTGGGAAGAGGATGAGAATTGAAAAACTACCTATCGGGTCACTGCACATGTACCCCCTGAACTAAAATAAAAGTTGGAAAGGAATAAAAGTTTAAAAATGAAATAAAAACTACTCCTTTAGCAATTTCCAAGTAAAACATAAATAATCTGATATGAAGAAATGCTTTGCTTTGATGGTCTTCACAGTGTTATTTTCTCTGAAGCAAAAATTATCTCAATTACGTATATTACAAAAGAGATCATTTCCTCCAAATGGAGACAACAAACAATATTAGAGAAAGCAGCATAGCACTTCTGTCTCTAATTTCTCTGTAACTTAGCTGTGAAACCTTGAGTCAGTCATCTGCCATCTCATCTGCAGTAAATTAATCAATTTTAATTTGCCAAGGAGTTACAAGTAAAATTGTCATACAATTTTTCATTCATTAAACTAAAGCAAAGTAATTGATTTAAATGAGCTTTATAACTGAAATAGCTCAACGTAGCACCCCCAAGAGTATCTAATAAATTATGACAGTGTACAAAACATTCAATAGTTAAAAAAAAAAAAAAAAAGACGTTGTTACCTTGAACTTATAGGCAATTGGACATTCTGGATTATTAAAAATGCCCTTCCTTCTTAACAGATTATATTTTAAAAATTTTTTACAGTTTTGGACATTGTTAAATTATACACTCAAATTACTCAGTTGAACTCATTATGAATAGAAATTATGTGGCACATGATCTGAACAACTTCGCTTACTCCTATAGAACTGTATACAGTGCACACCTTCCAAACACTCACTGTTGAGCTGTATGGACTAACATACATTATTTGATATACAGTAGATCTTACTGGATTACTCAGGGCCAACTGTCTCAATTCCGAACCACATACTGAGATGAAGCTGGTGATTTGCACTCCCTCATTCTACCCTCCATCCCATGCCAATCTGTAGAGCATAGCTCTATATTACTTTTTTTCACTTTGATTCTGGGTCCCCTCTCCTCTGCTGTCAGTTCTGGGGCTCATGATCCATCACTATTACTGATCTTTGCCACTCTCCATCTAGTGAAATCAAACTGCTACACTGATATCTAACACATCTTTTCTGTTTCTTCATCATTTTTTGGCTCTTCTGGTACCTGCTCTTCTCAGCAAGAACCAGAACACGTCTTTTCTGTTTCTTCATCCTGTTTGGCTCTTCTGGTCCCCGCTCTTCTCAGCTACAAAACAAACGACATCTACTACACAGGCACAGTCAGCCATTTAATATACTCCTTTTCTTCTAATTAAAAAGAAAAAAAAATCAAAACAGGCCAGGATAGTCTTTGGCTTTCTGAACTGTTTTCATGGCAATTTGAACCAAAAGGTTCATTTATTATTATAGAAGATGGTGTATTTTTTTTTTTAATTTCTAAGTTTGGAGTTACTACAGATACCTGGTCAACAGACAAGTTGAGAGTTTTTACAATTACAGGATTAAAGAGTTAAAATGCAATAAAAGTCATGGTGGCTGCCTTCTTAACCCTTAAAAACTCCACCAAATAAATCTCCAAAAATTTTTATTAAATCATATCTTAAAATAAATTCATAGAACTCCAAAAATATATACCAGTGGTCAAAAAGGACATGAAAAGATGCTTAACATCACCAATCATTAGGGAAGTGCAAATTAAAACCACAGAGAGATACTACTTTACACCCATCAGGATCGCTATTATCAAAAAAACAAAAAATGTGTTTGGCAAGGATGTGGAGAAATGGTGAGGATGTGGCAAAATGTTGGTGAGGATGTGGAGAAATTGGACTCCTTTGCATTGCTGGTGGGAATGTAAAATGAGGTGGCTGCTGTGGAAAAGAGTGTGTCAATTCCTCGAAAAAAAGTATACATATAGATATATATACATATAAAATTTCCATGTGATCTAGCAATTTCCCTTCTGGAGAGATATCGAAAAGAAATGAAAGCAGAGAGTTGAACAGATATTTGCACTCTCATGTTCATAGCAGCATTATTCACAATAACCAAAGGATGGAAACAACCCAAGCATCCATGGATGAATGAATGGATAAACAAAATGTATTAACAGCATATGCACACAATGGATAATTGTATTTCACCTTAAAAAGAACATTCTGACACACGCTACAACATGGACGAACGTTGGAGACATTATACTAAGTGAAATAAGCCAGTCACAAAAGGTCAAATAGTGCATGATTCCACTTATATGAGGTACCTAGAGTAGTCAAATTCATAGAGGCAGAAAGTAAATTGGCAGTTGTCAGGGGCTGAAGGTAACAGAAAACGAGGTGTGAGTGTTTAATAGGTATGAAGTTTCAGTTGGGGATGATGAAAAACTTCTGAGTGAAAAATAAAGTTGGCATAGTACAGGGACATACTCCATACTTAGTTACCAATGACTACTGTGCAAACCCAATCTGACTCTAAAAACAGAGACAGTACAAGTTGTATACAACTGAGTAAATAGTGCTTACTTTTGTTAGAGCTCAATGAAGAGCACAGAAACATCTCTACATATCTACAGACACCAGATTCTCCTCAGAGGTTTGTCTGGGAAAGCTGAAAAAAATAAACTGTAAATAAATAAAATCCCTCATGCCACCAAATCAAGGAATAAATATTCATTCTTGAGATTGTTAAGTACTGCTACCTCCATGCCTACATCCTTGCTATTCCAAATATATCAAACACGCTCCTGTCTCAGTGCCTTTGTACTAGGCCAACTCATTCCTCCATACTTGCGGAGCTCACTCCCTCATTTCATTCAGATCTCCACTCAAGTGTTCCCTTATCAGAGAGGGTGAGCTTACCACCCTATCTAAAATAGCATCCTCTATCATTCTCTCTCCCCTTAATTTATTTTTCTCTATACCTCTTTTTTTTTTTTTTTTTTTTTCTGGAGACGGAGTCTCGATCTGTCACCCAGGCTGGAGTGCAGTGGCATGATGTCGGCTCACTGCAACCTCCGCCTTCCCGGTTCAAGCAATTCTCCTGCCTCAGCCTCCAGAGTAGCTGGGAATACAGGCGCACGCCACCACACCCAGCTAATTTTTTTGTATTTTAGTAGAGACGGGGTTCACCGTGTTGCCCAGGCTGGTCTCAAACTCCAGGGATCAGGCAATCCGTCCGCCTCGGCCTCCCAAAATGCTAGGATTACAGGCGTGAGCCACCGCGCCCTGCCTTTCTCTATACCTCTTAATCACTACTTGTTATATATTTACTTGTTAATTATACGTCTCCATCCACTAGAATGTAAGTTCCAGGAGCAAAAGGACTTTCTATTTTGTTTACTGCTGTCTTCCCATCACCTGAACACTATCCGGCACACTGAAGGTTGCCAGTAAATACTTGCTAAATGGATAAACAAGTGGATGCTCATGGTTTCATAGATAATATTTCCCTCTTGGCCTTGGTACTATTTATTCTACCATATGGAGCAGCCATAGCCTGAAAGCATCCAGAGCATCCTTAACTTTTCAGCGTAGGATTCACTGGTTAAGTGGAAGTAAGGCCTAGTTGAAAATTCTGAAAGAAGCCTGGTACCAGCACTGTCACTGAGGCCTTAACGAAGCAGATCCAAAAATACTCTCTTACTCAGTTTCTACATTCGCTAAATGTATACAGTGTAACCGTCCCTCGCATTGTAGGATAAAGAATACACCTTATCAATGAGATATTTGTTATGCAGTATATGGCATGCGTTAATGCAAACGATGTCATGTACTACATTAAAAAATCGCACTGATATTTTGATAAATATACAATGCACTTGTAGATAAAAACCAGAGAATTTTTCCCTCTACAGCTTTTTTGAGGATTTGGGAGAAATGGACAAATGCAACAACATTGCATGTCATTAAATACAGTATATCCAAACACAACGAGTTTCTTGGCCCAACAGATATAGACCCTGGAGCACTATAAGAATATGTTAAACACCTGGATGAGGGAAAGAGAAGACTGCTTCCAAAACATACTTACTTTATTTCAAAGTCAAAAGTATTCAACACTTAATTCATACTGCATCCCAGAGAAACGTCCCACCCGCGCCCATGCATGTTACAAGTTTTGAGAGCATTTTATAACTGCACTTTAATCCCTCTGCAGTGAATGACTTCTGGTAAAGCGCTGGCAGTTAATAATACTTTTTGTAGAAAAAAAAATTAATACAACAACCACAATACCTCCACTCGCAAGAAAGCGGAGGAGGGCCCATTACTCTGTCTCCAGGGACTCCCAGAATCCCGTACGCCCCGACATAAGGAAAGTCATCCAGGGAACACACACGTCGCTCCCGCCTAGAGAGTGGAAATGGAACATGGGACCTGCCCATCAGCGGAGGCCCAGACACAAGTCAGAGGTGTCCGCAGGGAATGCAGCGTGGTTCCAGACAGCCTCGGTCCCCAGGGCCAGCGACCACCGCCTGAGACCGACCCAGGCCAGCCCCCTCCTGATTTCGACCCGGGCCTGCCCCCGGAGCTCACATCCCCGCAAACGGCAGTCCTACCTGAGCTCTGCCCCCAGCCACAGGGCTGAGGGGGCAGGCGGGAGGAGGCGTGGCCTTCCAGTTCGCCAGTCGAACTCCCTCGTGCGGTTGTTATGACTTTCCCTCTCGGGATCCGCGCCCCGACCAAGTTCGAGTTGCACTTCCGGGGTCTTCAGGAGATTGATACGTCATTACGCACTTGACGGCAGCGGCGGCGACAACCCGGAAACGGGCGGGGCGCGGGCCCTGGGTAGGTTCCTGTGGTATTAGGTGGACTGGAGAAAGAGGCCCGCGTGAATTAAGTGTAGTTCTCTTATGCACTGGCGGACTCTGGTCGCCCTTCCTTGTGAAGGCTGCCTGGGTAGCCGTAGAGGACGAGGCCACTCTAAAGCCTCGTTTTCCCAGCGGAATTTTAACTATTCTAAGGATGTCCTTACAGCCAGTTCCCCACTCCGCTACTCAGAGTGTGTCAGACTTTACCCTGTCCATTCAACTCCAGAAAAACCGGGAGGTCTAGATTCGGAAGATTAAATTTACCTTTGAATTAGGACATGTAAAATAGGAAGTTAATATTAGCATCCTAATGACAAAAGTTTTCTCGTTATCATACTTGACTCAAATGGGAATCTTACGGATATTAATGTTTTTTCCAGAAACAGGTTTGAAAGGTATTTCAAGGATAAATCTGGGGAAAGGGATGGAAGCAACTGATTTTTAATTTTTAGATAGTACTCTCAGAGCATTTATTTAGTCCAAAACTGTTAATTTAATGAATTAGGCTAAACTAGACGCTGGGGTAACAAAGCTGAGTTAGATACCCTCTCCTCTGAGGCAGCTAAAGAGAAGGAAAGTCTGGTGGCTGACAAGTAAACCAACAGTTATGTTCTTCAGAGAGGAGATCTCAGACTCTCTAAGGTATACTTCACTTCCACACTGTTTGTACTTTGCAAATGTACCCTGCCCCCTAAAATGTAAACTCACTGATGGTAGTGACATAATCTTGTCTTTTTAATGTATCCTCAACCATACAACAGTGCCTGTCCACAAAGTAGACAATAAATACTTATTGAATGACTGAATGATCACAGTGGTAAATAATAGATTGGGGAAATCTAGAAAAGTGTATAGGACAAGAAGAAAGTGGTGTAAGTAAGTGGCGGGAGATAAGGAGCAGTAAAAGGTGAGAGAATCCACTGGAGTTAGCCAGAACTGAGTACCTGAATGAATCTCGGGCATTGCAAGACTGTTAGGGCTTCATTTCCGGAAAGAACTCAAATGGTTTGTAGAGTGACACTTTATACTGAAGAGGAAGGCAACAGCCAGATTCTGAAAAGCTTTCTATGTCATGCTGAGTAATTTGATTTTCTGCTGCAGACAATTGGGGAAGCTGAAGGATTGTTGAACAGAGGAGGGAAACATTTTTATTTTGGTGGACTTTTGCAACAGTGACAGATTATATTAAAAAGATAAGGCTCCCAAAAATGTATAATCCCAGTTTAACCATGAGAAAAACATCAGACAAAATACCTGACCAGTACTACTCCAAACAGTTAAAGTCATGAAAAACAAGGAAAGTCTGAGAAACTGTCTGAGCCAAGAGGAGCCTAAAGAGACCAACTTTAATGTTGGATCCTGAAATAGAAATAGAACGTAAGTGAGAAAACTAGTGAAAATTGAATAAAAAAGTAACATTCCATTAAGAGAATATACCAATGTTTACATAAAATATGGAGATTGGTCAAAAGATGAGTGACATGACCTTTCAATATTTCCAGGATAGAGGCCCACTCAAGGGTTAGGGGAATGTACTTTGTTCAGTAGTAAACTATTGAACAAACATATGGGTGCTTCAGCCTGCAATTCCAGCTGGACTTACATGGGAATGAATGAGCCTTCAGATTGTTCCTGTCATTGAGTCAGCTGGGGTCCAAAATTTCATAAAGCAGAGACGAGCCATCCCCACTGTGCCCAGTTCTGAATTCCTGACCCACAGAAACAATTAGAGATAATGAAAATGATTCTTGTTACTTTAAGCCAGTAAATTTTGGAGTGATTTGTTTTTCAGCAAAAGAAACTAATAGCTGTATGACAACAGCCAAAGAGTAAATATCCTTTCAAGTCCAATCCTGCCTAAGATGTCAAAATCAAGAATGAAGAGGTTATGTGCTGAAACAGAGTGAGTCCTTTTCTCTCCTTACTCTACCCTAAATGGTAAACTCCTGCCTCAGCTGACCACAAAAATATCTTCTGCAAATCTGTGAGGAGAAAGGAGGGAAAGCAACAAAAATTGTATGTGGGCTTAGATGTTTTGTTAGAATTACAACAGCCCATGTGTAGCTTAGCAGAAACCATTACAATGATGACTACACAATATAGTACAAAAATGTCCCCTCATTTTAACCATAGTCATCTAAACTGTACAAGTTAGTTTATAATTTTAATTTATACATCTCTAGGGAAGCCAGAAACTTCAGTTTCTCTCCCCACCTCTCTTCTCTTGCACTTCAAAATCCTACTAAGATAAGGAAAAAGGAAAGGAGATTTGTTCCCTCCTGGCTAACAGCTGGTCCATCTTTGATCACTAGGATGATCAAAGAAATGTCCCTATACCATATTTTGCGTATCCTCCTCCTATTCCAGACCACTTCCTTGGGCATCTATCTTTTTATCAATCTACTCCCACCCTTCACATTAAATGATTTCAGTGACATACAGCAGACAGACACCTCCAAAAATACTAACAAGGCTACATGTTGTTCATTTAAGTTAAAAATAAAATTTAAACCTACTTATCATGACTAGGACTCAGTGCCAACATTTTGGCAGCTCAAGAAAATCCATTAAGGAAAATATTCTTAATTAGATGCTAAGGGCAAAGCTCTGTCCAAACTAACCAACTGTATTAGAATGAGGTCTGGATTCTGACTTAAATTTGGAGAATCAAGTAACATTCCTGCCCTTGCTCAAGCCCAAGCAGGAATGTGCTGTGGTTTGAATGTGTTCTCTAAAAATTCATGCATTGGAAACATAATTGCCATTGTAATAATATTAAGAAGTGAAGCTTTAAAGAGGTGATTTAGGTGATAGGGACTGTGCCCTCATAAAAGGATGAATGCCATTATTGTGGGAGTGGGTTAGTTATCATGGGAGTGAGCTCCTGATAAAAGGATAAATTTGGTCCCCATTTTCTCTCTGTCTTGTGCACTCTCACTACTCTGTCTCACCCTCTCTCCCCCTGTGATGCTTTCTGCCACAAGATGACCTTCACAAGATGCAGCCTCTGGATCTTGGACTTCCCCAGCCTCCAGAACTGTAAGCCAAATGAATCTCTTTGTTTATAAATTACCCAGTGTGTGGTATTCTTACAGCAGCAGAAAATGGACTAAGACAGTATGTGTGAAGTGTGGATAGTAATTACAACAAGTTCTGCCTTCTAGATTCAGTTTATATTTAAAGCCCAAAAAGTAGGATCATATAACCAAATAATTTCTAATGACCCCTCCAACAAAATGATTATTACTTGAAATCAACCCCCTATCACTTGTACTTTCCATCTAGATGCTGGGGACACAAAACTGAGTTAGACCCAAGAACACCCTTTTCATTATGCCTGGAATTTTTTTAAAATGAGAAAAGATAACATATCAGTGTTCAAAACATACTTTAAGAGAATTTCGAACAAAAAAACATAAAATAGCCTCTAGTTTGTGATGGAGACAATTTGTAGGTTGATATATTTACCTAGAGTTAGACAACCTGTGAGGTTTGAGGGCACAGTCTCTAAGGTGTCCCTGATTTCTGACACCAACTGCAAGTTTGGAGGGTTCCCAGAAACACCCTCAGGTTTGAAATTTTGCTAGAAGGTCTCACAGAACTCACTGAAAGCTGTTATCTTTACAGTTACCATTTATTACAAGGAAAGAATACAGACTAACATCAGCCAAGGGAAGAAACACGTAAGGCAGAGTCCAAAAGGGTACCAAACACAGCGCTTTTGCTATACTCTTCCATTATTTGCTGTACTTTCCCAGTGGAGTCAAGACATGTTACCCTCCCAAAATCCATCCATGACAATATGCAATATAGAATTGCCAGTAACCCTTTTCCTGTTTGCCCTAAGAATACTCACGAGTGGCACTTGCAGCTGCAGCATTTACCTTGAGATTACTTTGCTGATATTGTTTGATGTGTCCCCCCCCCAAATCTCATGTTGAATTCCCATGTGTTGTGGGAAGGACCCATGGGAGGTAATTGAATCATGGGGGCAGGTCTTTCCCTGCTGTTCTTGTAATAGTGAATAAGTCTCACAAGATCAGATAGTTTTAAAATGGAAGTTTCCCTGCACAAGTTCTCTTCTCTTGTCTGCTGCCATGTGAGATGTACCTTTCAACTTCTGCCATGATTGTGAGGCCTCCCCAGCCATGTGGAATTGTAAGCCCATTAAACCTCTTTCTTTTGTAAATTGCCCAGTCTTGAGTATGTTGGATCTGTTTGGAGGGCTCTGAAGAAGACAGGAAAATGTGGGAAAGTTTGGAACTCCCTAGAGACTTGTTGAATGGCTTTGACCAAAATGCTGATAATGATATAAACAATGAAACCCAGGCTGAGGTGATCTCAGATGGAGATGAGGAACTTGTTGGGAACTGGAGCAAAGGTGACTCTTGTTATGTTTTAGCAAAGAAACTGGTAGCGTTTTGCCCCTGCCCTAGAGATTTGTCGAACTTTGAATTTGAGAGACATGATTTAGGGTATCTGGCAGAAGAAATTTCTAAGCAGCAAAGCATTCAAGAGGTGACTTGGATGCTGTTAAAAGCATTCAGTTTAAAAGGGAAACAGAGCATAAAAGTTTGGAAATTCTGTAGCCTGACAATGTAGAAAAGAAAATCCCATTTTTTGAGGAGAAATTCAAGCTGGCTGCAGAAATTTGCATAACTAATGAGGAGATGAATGTTAATCACCAAGACAATGGGGAAAATGTCTCCAGGGCATGTCACAGACCTTTGTGGCAGCCCCTCCCACCACAGGCCCAGAGGTTTAGGAGGAAAAAATGGTTTCGTGGGCGGGGCCCAGGGTCCCTCTGCTGTGTGCAGTCTAGGGACTTGGTGCCCTGCATCCCAGCCACTCCAGCCATAACTAAAAAGGATCAAGGTGCAGCATGGGCTTTTGCTTCAGAAGGTAGAAGCCCCCAAGCCTTGGCAGCTTCCACATGATTTTAAGCCTGTGGATGCACAGATATCAAGAACTGAGGTTTGGGAACCTCCACCTAGATTTCAGAGGATGAAAGGAAATGCCTGGATGCCCAGGCAGAAGTTTGCTACAGGGGTGGGGCCCTCTGGGAGAACCTCTGCTAGGGCAGTGTGGAAGGCAAGTATGGGGTCAGAGCCCCCACACAGAGTCCCTACTGGGGCACTGCAGAGGGGAGCTTTGAGAAGAGAGCCACTGTCTTCAGACTCCGGAATGGTAGATCCACTGACAGCTTGCACCGTGTGCCTGGAAAAGCTGCAAACACTCACCACCAGTCCATGAAAGCAGCCAGGAGGGAGACTGTACTCTGCAAAGCCACAGGGACTGAACTGCCCAAGACCATGGGAACCCACCTCTTGCATCATCATAGTCTGGATGTGAGACACGGAGTCAAAGGAGATCATTTTGGAGCTTTAAGATTTGACTGCTGGATTTTGGACTTGCATGGGCCCTGTAACCCCTTTGTTTTGGCCAATTTCTCCCATTAGGAATGGCTGTATTTACCCAATGTCTGTACCCCATTGTATCTAGAAAGAAACTAACTTACTTTTAGGTTTACAGGCTCATAAACTGAAGGCACTTGCCTTATCTTGGATGAGACTTTGGACTGTGGACTTTTGAGTTAATGCTAAAATTAGTGAAGACTTTGGGGGACCATTGGCTTGGTTTTGAAATAGGAGGACATGAGATTTGGGAGGGGGCCAGAGGCAGAATGACGTGGTTTGGCTGTGTCCACACCCACATCTCATCTTGAATTCCCATGTGTTATGGGAGGGACCCAGTGGGAGGTAACAGAATCATGAGGGCAGGTCTTTCCCTGCTGTCACCATGATAGTGAATAAGTCTCATGAGATCTGATGGTTCTAAAAAGGAGAGTTTCCCTGCACAAGTTCTCTTCTTTTTCTGCTGCCATGTGAGATGTGCCTTTCACCTTCCACCATGATTGTGAGGCCTCCCCAGCCATGTGGAACCATAAGTCCATTAAGCCTCTTACTTTTGTAAATTGCCCAGTCCTTGGTATGTCTTTATCAGCAGTGTGAAAATGGACTAATGCATTTGCCATGAAGTATCTTGCTTTTATTATTATTTTCATATCACTCTAGTATATCAACTTTTGAAACAAAAGACATTCTATTTATAGCATTCAAATTTTAGTAGTGGCATTTCCATTTGCAAATATAGTAATTCTGTATTGCTGAAAATGTCAAATCCTAGAAAATGAAGCATTCCTACATGTGATGTTAACATCATTCTCAAACAGTTGTTGGCTGAAGATTCAATTGATGAATCTGATTTTTCTGAAAGAGATCATTCTGATGATTCAGACTATTCTGATGTTAGTTCCGTTTAGAAATAACTCCAAGAACAGTTTTCATATTTTATTTTTCACATAGAAAATCAATCAGACTTGCTTCAGCCTCAAAGAGCATGTTTATGTAAAATTAAATGAGCACTGGCAGTGAGCTGCACTTATTTTCCTAAATGGGAATAGTTAGGGAAGCTCACGAGAGCTTCAACATTCAGAATTTTTGAGGGGCTCCATTGTGGAGGCATCACTGATCCATTGTCCATATGGAACTCAGTCTTCAGGTCAGATGATACATGACCCAAAGCCTCTAAGTCATGTGGTTGGTCTTTCTAGCTTGGGGAGCCTCTACCCTAAAACTGTTGGACATAGTCAGTCTTCCTAAACAAAAACACTTTTGCCAGCTATGATAGGTTATTTCCCAGAATCTGAGGCCACAGGCCAGAACTCTCTTTAGGAAAGGCCCAATTCTTTACTATACAATATTTCACATGGACTCCTATATAAGTTTTATTTGGATGAGAGGTGGTAGGCAAAGGAAGAGAAATGGTAATTAAGTCTCTGTCATACTAGTGAAATCATCAGGAATAGGTGATTAGTTTTAAGTAGTACAGAGACCAGTCTTCTTCAGTTTAGTCCTAGAGAACCTTTCCATTTTCTACTTAGTGTCTCTCTTTTAAATTTCTTCTCACCATTCCTTTATGAAAAGAGAGAATAAAATAGTGTGAGCTTTCTTGTGAGCTATGTAAAGATAAGACAACAAAGAGGAAATATGTAAAGGATAGGCTCTCTGACCCTGACCTTTTTCTGATCTCTTGAATAGTAATTGGATAGGTTGGAAACAGCTGTGGAAAGCTGTAGCTGCATCCCTAACAGAGATTTGTTTCTAAACTAAGCCTTTATGATAAAACTCCCTAATGATAAAAAAAAACCATGAAAATCCCCTAAACGGCCCACAAAGTACAGAATATATGAAGTTATGCTTATACTCTAGATCTTTACTTCTTATGCACACTCAAATGTGAAACTTCTGAAATAGTTTAAATGTTAGAGCTAAAGAAGAGTTTGTGTGCAGATATCTGAGAATTTAAACAATTCTGATAAATCCAGTGGGCAACTCGGTCTTTATTGTAACCATTCAGCAGCACTTAACACGATTTAACATCCTCTTTCTTAAAACTTGAAACACTTTCTGCATTTGACTTTTGTGAAATTATGGAGCTCTTTGATTTTCCTTTGCTGAATTTTTCCTGACCTCTAGATGTTAATGTGCCTGAGATGTGTTCCCTTCTTTATCTGCCTTTATTCCTGAGTTTATCCCATCCACTCCCTTCACTATTATATGGCATCACGATGCTGATGGCTTCCAAATATCCATATCCAGCCCCGATTTCTTTGATTTTCATATTCATATATCTAACTTCTTATTCAACATATCTATTAAAATATTCAACATACATTTCAAACTTCTTATTTTCTACCTCCAAAAGCTACTCCTATTGCATACCTCTTCATCTCACTAAATGACACATTGATTCTTACAATTGTTCAGGTTGTCCTTTGATTCTTTATCTCTCGTATTTCACACACAATTCCTCAGGAAAATCTGTTGCCTGTCTTCAAAAGGTAACCTAAATCTATCCAATTCCCAGCATCTCTACTACAACTATTCTAGTCCACAATAGATGCTGTAATTGATTGTTCTGCATGCTTCTGTTTTTGCCTCCCTACAATCTAGTCTCCAATTGGCAGCTGTGGATATCTTCTAAAAATTCATACCAGAACTTGTTGCTTCCCTGATCAAAATCTTTAATAAGTTTCCTCACTCAAATAGAATACAATCCAAAACCATTTCTATAAGCCTATAAAGTCCTGCATGATCTGGCCCTTCACTACCTCATACCTCCACTGAGTCAGCAGATGGTAAAAGACTGTTTTGAAGGGATGGAGAAAGCACTTGGCCAATAACCTTGGAGTTTCATAAATGGCAGTCTCAAAGTCAAGTACCTGGCTCTTTCCTAAAAATATTTAAAGACGAGAGAATTACTGAGGGTACCTTTGATGAGAGAGTAAGGAGATAAGAACTGTCATGTCTTCCCAACAGCTAGTGGACATGATCATACATGGATGGGTGTATTCGTTTTCTAGGCCTACCATAACAAAGTATTTCAGACTGGGTGGCTTACACAACATAAATTCATTTTTTCATAGTTCTGAAGACTAGAAGTCCAAGATCAAGGTCATGGCAGGGCTGGTTCCTTCTGAGGACTGTGAGAGAGAATCTGTTCCGTGCTTTCCTCCTAGCTTCTGGTAGTTTGCTGGCTATCTTTGGTGTTCTTTGGATTGTAGATGCGTCACCCAGATTTCTGCCTTTATCTTCACTTGGCATTTTCCCTGTGTGCTTGTCTCTGCATCAAAAGTTTTCCCTTTTATAGGAACACAAGTCATATTGGATTCAGTCTAACCTTAATGACGTTATTTTAACTTGATTACCTCTGTGATGACATTAGTTCCAAATAAGGACACATTCGGAGGTAGTTGAGGTTAGGAAAGACTTCACCATATCTTTTGTGGAAGATAAAATTCAACCCACAACACTGAAGTATAATTATTTTTGAAAAAGGAGAGAATCAAATCTAGTAGAAAGAAAGAAGAAGCAAACCAGCCAGCAGAATGAGGTTGTGTGAAGTAAGCCACCAGAAGAGGAGATCCATGGGAATTGTGAGATGCTGACTGGGACATTCACCCCATGTACTAGAGAATGTCAGTGTTAGAGTTCCTGAATTTTGGATGAATCTCCAAAATTATACTAAAGTGCCTAATGACAGCACCGGTATTTGGGCATTTGCTACAGAGAGGACAACAATTCCAATTTATAATAGCCTTTTTCTCCCACCTCTGAGCCGACCCCAAAGGACCTCAAAGTAATAGGATTAGTGTAGGACAAGGGGAAGTAAAAGGTAGAGGAACTGAGACAAAACAAATCATGGGCCAGGCCCAGTGGCTTACACCTGTTATCCCAGCACTTTGGGAGGCCAAGGCGGGAGCATCACTTGAGCCCAGGAGTTCAAGATCAGCCTGGGCAACATAGAGTCTCTACAAAAATTAAAAAAAAAAAAATCAAAAAAATTATTAGCTGGATATGGTGGCACATGCCTATGGTCCCAGCTACTTGAGAGGCTGAGATGGGAGGATCGTTTGGGCCCTGGAGCACAAGGCTGCAGTGAGCCCTGATTGTGCCACTGCACCCCAGCTTGTGCAACAGAGGGAAACCCTATCTCAAAAAAAAAAAAAAAAAAGAAAGAAAGAAAGAGAGAAAAGAAAAGAGAGATGATGTCCCCTTCTTTCCAGCATACTTGTGGGTCAGACCTATGCTGGGAAAGGGACACTTTAAAGTAATTGGAAGTTTCCAATCCAGCTCACGTAAAGAGCCTGGAGCTTGGAAGTTTGTCACGCTCATCTTCACAAGACAAAAGCTGAGCAAACTGAAAATCAACAAGTATTCTTAGATCTGTCAGAGAATTAATGTCACAAGGCAAACTTCTGCCCTCAAAACTAGACAGACCAGTGGTATATTAGACCATTCTTGCATTGCTATAAAGAAATACCTGAGACTCGGTAATGTATAAAGAAAAGAGGGTTAATCGGCTCATGGTTCTGCAGGCTTTACAGGAAGCATAGTGCTAGCATCTAATTGACTTCTAGAGAGGCTTCAGGAAGTTTACAATCATGGCCGATGGTGAAATGGGGAGCAGGCACATCACATGGCAAAAGCAGGAGCAATAGAGAGTGGTGGTGGAAGGTGATAACACACTATTAAATGACCAGATGTCATGAGAACTCACTGTCACAAGGACAGCACCAAGCGATGAAGGATCTGCCCCCATGATCCAAACATCTCCCACAAAGTCCTACCCCCAGGATTGCAGATTATAATTCAACATGAAGTAAGGGCAGGGGCAAATATCCAAACTATATCATTCTGCCCCGGCCCCTCCCAGATCTCATGTCCTTCTTACTTTGCAGAATACAATCATGCCTTCCCAACAGTGCCCCCAAAATCTTAACTCATTTCAACATTAACTCAAAAGTCTCAAGTCTTGGCAGGCGTGGTGGCTCGTGCCTGTAATCCCAGTATATTGAGAGGCCAAGGCAGGTGTATCACTTGAGGTCAGGAGTTCAAGACAAGCCTGGCCAACATGGTGAAAACCCATCTCTACTAAAAATACAAAAATTAGCTGAGTATGGTGGTGTACACCCGTGATCTCAGCTACTTGGGAGGCTAAGGCAGGAGAATCACTTGAAGCCTGGAAGCAGAGGTTACAGTGAGCTGAGATCATGCCACTGCACTCCAGCTACCCCACCCCCCACAAAAAAGTCTCAAGTCTCATCTGAGACAAGGCAAATCCCTCCCACCTATGAGCCTGCAAAATAAAAAACAAGTGAGTTACTTCCAAGATACAATGGAGGTATAGGTATTGGGTAACATTCCCACTCCAAAAGGGAGAAATCAGCCCAAAGAAAGGGGCTATAGGCCCCATGCAAGTTCAAACCCAGCAGGCAGTCATTAAATCTTAAAGTTCCAAAATAGTTTTCTTTGACTCCATGTTTTGCATCTAGAGTACAACGGATGGGCTCCCAAGTCTTGGGCAGCTCCACCCCTGTGGCTTTGCCGGGTTCAGCCCCCAGGGCTGCTCTCATGGTTTGGAGTTGAATGCCTGCAGTTTATCCAGGTGCAAGGTGCAAGCTGACAGTGGATCTACCATTCTGGGGTCTGGAAGAGGATGACCCCTTTCTCACAGCTTTATTAGGCAGTCCCCGCTTAGGGACTCTGTGTGGGAGCTCCAACCCCATATTACTCCTTGGCACTGCTCTAGTAGAGGTTCTCTGTGAGGGCTCTGCTCCAGAAGCAGGCTTCTGCCTGGGCACCCAGGCTTTCTCATACATCTGAAATGTAGGTGGAAGCTGCCAAGTGTACTTCACTCTTGCATTCTGTGCATCTATAAGCTTAACACCACATGGAAGCCAGCAAGGCTTATGGCTTGCATTCTCCAAAGTGGCAGCTAGAGCTGTACCTAGGTCCTTTTGAGCTGAGGCTGGAGCAGGAGTGGCTGAGATGCAGGTAAAGGTGTCCCAAGGCTGTGCAGGGCAGCGGGGCCCTGGCCCATGAAAACATTAGGTTCTCATAGGCCTCAGGGCCTGTGATAAATGGGGCTGCCAGGGAGGTCTCTGACATGCCTTCAAGGCCTTTTCTCCATTGTCTTTGATGTTAGCACTTGGCTTCCTTTTAGTAATACAAATATATCTAGCAAGTTGTTGCTCAACAGCCTGCTTGAATTCCTCTCCTGAAAAAGCTTTTCCTTTCTCTGCCACATGGCCAGGCTGCAAATTTTTCAAAATCTTATGCTCTGCTTCTCTTTTAAATATAAGTTCCAACTTATTTCTTTGCTTTCACATCTGAGCTAGGCTATTAAAAGCAGCCACACCTCTTGTTAAACGCATTGCTACTTAGAAATTTCTTCTGCCAGATACCCTAAATTATCACTCTTTAGTTCAAACCTCCACTGATCCCTAGGCATGAACACAATGCCTCCAAGCTCTTTGCTAAGTTATAACACATGTGACCTTTGCTGCAGTTCCCAATAAGTTCCTCATTTCCATCTGAGACCTTGCTAGCCTAGACTTCACTGTCCATATCACTGTCAGCATTTTGGTCACAACCATTTAACCTGTCTCTAAAAAGTATTAAACTTTCCCTCATCTTTCTGTCTTCTTTTGAGCCTTCCAAATTCTTCCAACCTCTGCTCATTACTCAGTTCCAAAGTTGCTACCACATTTCAGGTATCTTTATGGCAATTCCCTGGACTCCTCAGTACCCATTTTCTGTATTAGGGCATTCTTGCATTGCTATAAAGAAATAACTGAGACTGGGTAGTTTATTTATTTATTTTTTTAAGAGAGAGGTTTAATTGGTTCATGGTTCGGCAGGCTTTATCGGAATCATGGTGCCAGCATCTGCTCAGCTTTGAGGGAGGCTTCAGGAAGCTTACAGTCATGGTGGACGGCAAAGAGGGAGCAGGCATATCACATGGCAAAAGCAGCAGCAAGCAAGGGGAGGGGGAGATGCCACATAGTTTTAAATGACCAGATCTCGCAAGAACTTACTATCACAAAGCACCAAGCCATGAGGGATCCACCCCCATGATCCAAACTGGTTCCAAAAGGACCCACCTCCAGCATTGGGAATTACAATTCAACATGAGATTTGGACGGGGACAAATATTCAAACTACATCAGGTAGATACAGAGAGCCACAGCTTACTAGAAGCAAAAGCCAGGAAATTGAACGACCATCTGTAGGGACCCTTTAAACTGTAATTGACAAATTACTGGAGGCTCACAGTGAACTAGCTTCAGAGTTAAAAACTCTAAGGCATCTAGTGTTTGTGAGTTTTCTCTCTAAGCACCCTAACAGGTTCCCACTATAAGGATCAGAGAATAGTCACTGATGGTGGGAGGGAAAAATAACTATTTAAAAATATGCCCAGAGCTCTCTGTTTTTCTTGACAAGGTATGCCCTTAAGGGAAACTATTTTATCAGAGCCTGACTGGGGGCTTATCAGAGGCTTACCAACATAGAGGAACAGAAATACTCAATTCCAGCTCTTTCTAACCTTCAAAGTAGGAGGGGGGAGGTGGACAACATGCAAAGACAGTAGGGAATTGTCTGCCCTTGAAGAAGAGGGATGGAAACTAAGAAATCATAAAAAAGACATGCTAGAGATAAAAAAAACACAGTAACAGAAATGAAGAATGCTTTTGATAGGCTCATAAGTAGACTGGACACAGCCAAGAGAATAATCTCTGAGTTTGAAGCTATGTCAATAGAAATTTCTGAAACTCAAATGCAAAGAGAAAAAAGAATTAAAAAGATGGAACAGAATATCAAAGAATTATGGGACAATTATTAATACGAAAAGTGTGGCCAGGTGCTGTAGCTCATGCCTGTAATCACAGCACTTTGGGAGGCCAAGGCAGGCACTTGAACCCCAGAGGTGGAGGTTGCAGTGAGCTGAGATCGCACCATTGCACTCCAGCCCAGGCCACAGTGTGAGACCCTGACTCAAAAACAAAACAAAACAAACAAACAAAAAAAGTGTAACCTATGCATAATAGGAATACCAAAAGGAGAAGAAACTGAAAAAGTAACAGAGAAACTATTTGAATTAATAATGGCTGAGAATTTTCCAAAGTTAATGACAGATACAAACCTACAAATCCAGGAATTGCAGAACACACCAAACAGGATAAATACCAAAAAATGTAGACATGGGCATATCATATTCAAAGTTCAGGAAATCAAAGACAAAAATATTTTTGAAAGAAGCCAGAGGAAGGAAACTCACCTTACCTATGGAGGAAAAAGCATAAGAATTACATTGAATTTATCTTCAGAAACCGTGCAAGAAGAGGGCAGAGTGAAATATTTAAAGTTTTAAAAGAAAAATCTACCAACCTAGAGTTCTGTATCCAGTGAAATTATCCTTTAAAAGTGGAAAAATAAAGACATTCTCAGACAAAAAAATAATTGAGGAAATTTGTCACCAGAAGACCTACCTTGCAAGAAATGTTAAAAGAAATTTTTCAGAGAAATGGAAAGATACAAGTCAGAAACTCATATCTACGTGGAAAAAGGGAGTTAGAGAAGAACAAATGAAGAAAAGGTAAAATCTTTTATTTTTCTTATTCTTATTCTAACAGATAACAGTCTATTCAAAATAATAATAATAGCAACAGTGTATTTGGATTATAGCTTATTGTTAAGTAAAATTAATCACAGCAATGTTAAAAGTGATGGGAGAGGGGAATTTGAAATACTTTTATAAGGTATTTACACTACTATGAAACAATACGGTTTTATTTAAAAGTGGACTTGGATTAATCGTGAATGTATATTGCAAATTCTAGGGCCGCCACTATAAAAAGCTTAAAAAAAGGTCTAATTTTCATGCTAAGAGAGAATTGAAACTGGAATGATATAAAATGCTCATTTAAATTATACAAGGCATAAAAGAGTAGAAGAAAGAGAGACACAGGGAGGGAGAGGGAAGGAAAAAGCAGAGAGAGAGGATAGAAGGGAGAGAGAAAAGAAAGAAATAGAAAAGAAAGGAGGGAAAGAAGGAAGGAATGGACTGACGCTGGTAGTGACTAGAAAACAGTTCACGTGATTTAGATCATATTAAACTTTTTTGTTTTTTTTTGTTTGTTTGTTTGTTTTTTTTGTCTCGCTCTGTCGCCCAGGCTGGAGTGCAGTGGCGGGATCTCGGCTCACTGCAAGCTCCGCCTCCCGGGTTCACGCCATTCTCCTGCCTCAGCCTCCCAAGTAGCTGGGACTACAGGCGCCTGCCACTACGCCCGGCTAATTTTTTGTATTTTTAGTAGAGACGGGGTTTCACCGTTTTAGCCGGGATGGTCTCGATCTCCTGACCTCGTGATCCGCCCGCCTCGGCCTCCCAAAGTGCTGGGATTACAGGCGTGAGCCACCGCACCCGGCCTAAACTTTTAAATAACTGAAAATGAAACATTCCAAGACAGCCTAATGTGACCACAAAAGCATTAATGCGTACCTAAGGTTTAATTCTGGGATAGGGAAAAATATCTGACAAAGCAAGTTTGGAGTGTCCTTGTAGCAAAACAATTAGGCTTTCTATATAGCTAGTCCCCCATTCAAGTGCTGCACATTCAATATATGAGTTACATCCATGTATATATATGAAAGAAACTAAAATTCAAAACATTACATGAAATAATTATGTAAATATCATGTTTTCAAGATTGGAATGGTATTTTTATACCATTGGATAATTGGAATATCAAGACAGTAATTTTTCAATCCCTTCTGGGTACTTCTTTTCTTCTGATATTATTAATGTGTCCCTTCATTGTGTGTCGCAAGTCTGAGCTTACCTACTCCTAGTTCTCCACAAACTTCCATAATTACAAAATTACCATTACTCTTCTTTATTCTAATCCCCTTGTAAACTTTAATATCTGTATTTTTGGCAATCTGATTATTCCCAAATATCTTCAGAAACTTATTCCACCTCCCAGTATTTATTGCAACAATATATTAGATGTTGAATATGGTCAAATAGCTTTTAAGACACCATGTTCTTATAATGAGCCTTCTTCTTAAACACACAGACACACACACACACACACACACACACCCACACATGCTACACTACATTGCTGTAATAAATCAGCAGTAAATAGAACTACGTGATGAGTCCTGAGAGTCCTTCTATCTAATCCCTGAATGTCAGGGTAGTCTTGGAGACCCTCTACACCGTTACTCATTCTCAAGAGAAAAGACAAAGAGTGAAGACTGACCACAAGATAATCCAAAGTTTGTATCATCAGTCAGGACTTTAAAGAGTTATTATAACTATGCTCAGTGACTTAAAGAAAAGTATGTTCATACTGAATAAAAATAGAGTAAATCTGCTGAGACATAAAAACTATAATAAAGAAAACCAAATGGAAATTCTGTTAAAATATCTGATATTGAAAAAAATCCACTGGATGGGATTAACAGCAGAGAGGAGATTGCAGAGGAAAGAATCAGTGAATTTAGGGATAAACCAAAAAATATTATACCTATGCACATCATAGCAAACTTCTCAGAAGCAACAACAAAGAGAAAATCTTGAAAGCAGCCAGAATAAAATGACACATTCACATACAGGAACAGTGATACAGACGATCACTATCTTTTCATCAGAAACAGTGAAGGCCAGAAGAGAGTGGACCATCTTTAAAGTGCTGGAAAAAAAAGGCTATCCAGAATTCTGTGTCTGATAAAATATCCTTCAAGAATAAGGAAATAAACATTTTCAGGTAAAAGAATAATTACAGAACTCATCATGAGCATATCTGTACTACAAGAAATGCTAATGGAAAAGGAAATAACATCAGATGGAAATTCAGATCTTTACGAAGTAGGGGCATACAAAATTAAAAATATCTCAGTAAATACTAAAGATTATTTTTTCTCAATTATTTTGAAATACATACAACAGTTTAAAACAAAACATTGTCTATTGGGGTTTATTATATCTCTTGACAGAATACATATGAAAGCTATATCATAAAATGCAGGGTATGGTGAGTAGTAAATGGACCTATACAGTCTATAAAAATTTGAGTATGTATGTTTTAATACCTAGAGCAAGCACTAAAAAATGCAAAGACATATAGCTAAAAAGCCAAAAGATAAACCAAACTGTATAAGAATGTTCATAGCGGCCTTATTCATAATAACACCAAACTCTAAATAGCCCAGGTGTCCAACAAATAGGGCATACACAAATTTTGGTACCTTCCTGCAATAAGAATACCACTTAGCAATAGAAAAAAACAAAGTAACAGAATGGGTGAATTTCAAAACATGATGCTGAATGAAGACTTACACAAAAAAGTACACATTGTATCATTTCATTTATATGAAGTATTAGAACAGCCAAAACTAATTGATGGTGGGAAAGTAGAGCAAAAACACCAAGACTAGAGTGTGCCTAACATATTCAAGGAGTTATGAGGAGGCCAGTGGAGCTGAAGAATAGAAAGCAGACGAGAGTAGTGGAAGAGCTCATCATAGAGGAAAAAGGGATTGGTCAAAGGGAAGGACCAGATCTTGTGGGTCATTGTTAAGACTTTTTACTCTGAATGAAATGGGGTCTTTTGGGGGGCTTTGAATAGAGGAGAGACATGATCTGATTTACATTTTTCAGGGATCATATAGCTGCTCCAAGAATGGACTGTAGGGGGTCAGTAAAGGAAAAGGGAGACAATTGGGAGACTATTACATTTATCCACATGAATGATGAAGATGGCTTGAATGTACAAAGAGCTCAGAATGGTGCCTGGTACTCAGTAGATTTTATCTGCTGATGTTATTTAAATTCCAAATAATCAGGTTAGTTTTTAGTCATTGAATGTTTAAAAATATTCAGATATTATAATTTTAATTTTCAAGAAATATTTATTTTATGATTGCTTATTTTCCATGCTGGAATGCTACTTTATGTTTGCAATATTTTCACAAATTTATCTTTTCTTTTGTTTCCTGAATTATCTCTTTCCTCCAAAGTTGGTTATTCTGTTTATTATTATACTTTTCTTTCATTTTCTTGGTTTTCTGCAAGTGTCTAGTAATCCTAGGTTTTCTGCTCACATTTTTATAAAATGGGTATGTTGATTAGTTTATTCATAATTAGAATGCTTTTGCTTCTGATACTTTATTATAAAAATTTACAAGCATACAGGAAGTTAAAAAAATAGTGCAGTGAACACATGTATCTCTATCACCTAGATGCTACTGTCAACATTTCATGATATACTTGCTTTATCACTTATCCATCTATCTATTCATCCCTCTCTCTAGCCATTAATTTGTCTTTTTAAAAATACATTTCAAAGTAAATCATGACTGACTCTTCCTGTCATTGTATAAGTGGAGGTATGTTATCTGAACAGGAGGAAAGAACATGGGTCTTGGTCAGCAGATCAGGCTTTTCAGTAGTCACAATTCCCTTTAGGATATAGGGGTGGAAAATAGACAGGCAAGCCATGGTCTCCCGTGTCCAACAGAATAATTTTATTTTTGGGAAGGACAGTGTCACTCCTGGTATACCTTTCCTCCTCTCATCTGCCTCCCGCCTTTATATCTTTTTCAAAGGCACTGTGTAACCTCAAGGTAGTCTGCAACATTTCTCTCTTATATCATGTATTTGTTAAGAGGTTAAAATTTAGCAGTTTGTAATAGAACACTCCAAATAACAGCAGCTTAAACAAGACAGGAGTTATTTCTTATGAGTGTACGTACTCCAGACTAGTTTTATGGCTCCACAATCATCAATGGCCCAGATTTCTACTTTTTTGTTGTTCTGTCAAACTTAGTATGTGCCATCAACATCTGGCCCAGCGTGACTGCTCCAGCTCCAGCCGATAGGCTCACATTCCAGTCAGAAGGAAGAGGAAAATTTTCCTTTAAGAATTTCTCAGAAGTTGTTAACACCACTTTTGTTTACATCTTAGTGGTCACTTGCTTCACAATGGAGATAAATTCTGAGAAGTGCAAAATTAGGTAATTTTGTCATTGTGTGAACATCATATAGTTATGCAAACCTAGAGGGTATAGTCTACTACACACCTAGGTTATGTGGTACAGCCTATTACTCATAGGCTACAAGCCTGCGCAGCATGTGACTGTACTGAATACTGTAGGTAATTGTAACACAATGGTATTTGTGTAACTAAACACATCTAAACATAGAGAGGGTTCAGTAAAAATAAGGCATTATAATCTTATGGGACCATTGTTGTATATATGTTTTGTTGGTGACTGAAATATCATTATGTGGTACATGACTATACTTAGATATACAGTCACACTTAGCTACCATGCTACTAAGTACTGGGAATTGGGATTGATTCTGGGTGACCATGTGCTTCACAAAAACAATGAGAATGGATGTTGAGGGTACAATGGGCAGTCTTTGCTTTAGGCCTCAATACCCACATGATTTCCCAGAAGTCATTTCCCAGGTGGATTAGCATCTTTCTATAGGGACTCACTCTCAGCATGCTACCCTGGGGCAAAAGATTCCAGCCACACTACATCCAAGCTCAGCAGAAACAGTTGTTTCTGTTCAGTCGACCATCTTGAACCAGAAGCTTCCTTATGTGATTTTCAAAGTTCTGTGGAACTGCTTCAGATATTTGATAAGAAAGCAAATTTATACCATGTAAATAGCCTTCTTAACCTTTATATCTGGCTTGTATTTTGGGTTTCCTGGAATAATAATTCATCTGAAGAAAGGATTACCCTCCTCTGCAGATAGCAAATGCTTCCTGACTGGCAACTGTCAGCAAACTCTGCCTTTCCTCCCTGCAGTCCTGGGTCCACTGTGGACCCAGTTCAACTGCAGTGACCCATTGACTTCATTCCTGTTGTTATTCTGAAGACTTCCTGGCACATCAGCAGTTACCTGCATAAAGAAAAACCTTCTCAAGCCTTTTTTTTTTCCCATTTGGCTTCAGTGATAACCAATTCAGCTTGTAGATGTTATTGCCTAAGGTAAAACATCTTGAGCCTATGTAATTCTTAGCTGTATCTGTGCTTACTAGGACAGAGCCAAACACAGTATACAGTACAACACAATTGAGTTTGCAGTAACTTTATCTTTTTAAAAATTTTCTTATATTTATTTTATTTTTTTTTTAGAGACAGGGTCTCACTCTGTCTCCCAGACTGGAGTACAGTGGCACAATCATAGCTCACTGCAACCTCGCACTCCTGGGGTCAAGTGATCCTCTCACCTTAGCCTCCGAAAGTGCTGGAATTACAGGTGTGCACCACTACACCCAGTCACCAGTAACTTTATTTTTTGTAACTGATTTCATCTTGTTCCGTAGTTCTCATTTGCACTGATGGCAGATTTTTTAAAAATCCCTAACTTTATCAACTGAAGCTAATCTTTTCCAGTTTTAAATTATTGATTTCTGCCAAATGTTAATACAATGGCCAAACTGTTAATGAGGAATATGTATCACCTGACATTTGACCCTCTTCTACCTCTTGTTTCCTGAGGTAGTTTTAGTTGTAGGGGAAACTTTAATATCCTCATGGAGCTGGGACAAGAGGCCTCTATCCATGTGCTGACCTCTTGGTTCCTGTTGGACTTCACTGAGATGACGTTCATCCTGCTGGTTACTGGGAATCTTAGTAGGGTCTACTGAAATATGGCTTGGTCAGTCTCATCTGGTCTTTTGGTCATTGTCCTAGTATTCCTCAGTACTGTCTGGCAACACTGTCATTTATTGTGAGATATGAGGTTAGTTTTGTCTATGATTTTTTTTTAATGACTTAGTCCTGGGACCGAGAAACTCAGAGATAGAATACTTTCAACAATACATTGCAACTGTGTTCAAGGTGCATTATTCATTCTTTTTTAACATTTTATTTTTATTTTTATTTCAATAGGGTTTTGGGGAACAGGTGGTGTTTGGTTACATGAATAAGCTCTTTTTTTTTTAAATTATACTTTAAGTTCTAGAGTACATGTGCACAACGTGCAGGTTTGTTACATAGTTATACATGTGCCATGTTGGTTTGCTGCACCCATCAACTCATCATTTACGTTAGGCATTTCTCCTAATGCTATCCCTCCCTCAGCTCCCCACCCCCTGACAGGCCCTGGTGTGTGATGTTCCCAGCCCTGTGTCCAAGTGTTCTCATTGTTCAATTCCCATCTATGAATGAGAACATGCAGTGTTTGGTTTTCTGTCCTTGTGATAGTTTGCTGAGAATGATGGTTTCCAGCTTCATCCATGTCCCTGCAAAGGACATGAACTCATCCTTTTTTATGGCTGCATAGTATTCCATGGTGTATATGTGCCACATTTTCTTCATTTTCTTTTCTTTTCTTCTTTTTTTTTTTTTTGAGACAGAGTCTCACTCTGTTGCCCAGGCTGGAGTGCAGTGGCGCGATCTCAGCTCACTGCAAGCTCCGCCTCCCAGGCTCACGCCATTCTCCTGCCTCAGACTCCGGAGTAGCTGGGACTACAGGCGCCCGCCACCATGTGCAGAGAATTTTTTGTATTTTTAGTGGAGATGGGGTTTCACCGTGTTAGCCAGGATGGTCTCGATCTCCTGACCTCGTGATCCACCCACCTCGGCCTCCCAAAGTGCTGGGATTACAGGCGTGAGCCACCATGCCCGGCCTATGTGCCACATATTCTTAATCCAGTCTATCATTTATGGACATTTGGGTTGGTTCCAAATTCTTTACTATTGTGAATAGTGCCATAATAAACATACTTGTGCATATGTCTTTATAGTAGCATGATTTATAATCCTTTGGGTATATACCCAGTAATGGGATGGCTGGGTCAAATGATATTTCTAGTTCTAGATCCTTGAGGAATCGCCACACTGTCTTCCACAATGGTTGAACTAATTTACACTCCCACCAAAAGTATAAAAGCGTTCCCATTTCTCCACATCCTCTCCAGCATCTGTTGTTTCCTGACTTTTTAATTATTTCCATTCTAACTGGCGTGAGATACTGTCTCATTGTGGTTTTGATTTGCATTTCTCTGATGACCAGTGATGATAAGCATATTTTCATGTGTCTGTTGGCTGCATAAATGTCTTGTTTGATAAGTGTCTGTTCATAAGTCTTTGCCCACTTTTTGATGGGGTCATTTGTTTTTTTCTTGTAAATTTGTTTAAGTTCTTTGTAGATTCTGGATATTAGCCCTTTGTCAGATGGGTAGATTGCAAAAATTTTCTCCCATTCTGTAGGTTGCCTGTTCATTCTGATGGTAGTTTCTTTTGCTGTGCAGAAGCTCTTTAGTTTAATTAGACCCCATTTGTCTATTTTGGCTTTTTTTGCCATTGCTTTCGGTGTTTTAGTCATGAAGTCCTTGTGCATGCCTATGTCCTGAATGGTATTGCTTAGGTTTTCTTCTAGGGTTTTTATGGTTTTAGGTCTAACATTTAAGTATTTAATCCATCTTGAATTAATTTTTGTATAAGGTGTATGGAAGGGAACCAGTTCGGCTTTCTACATATGGCTAGCCAGTTTTCCCAGCACCATTTATTAAATAGGGAATCCTTTCCCCATTTCTTGTTTTTGTCATGTTTGTCAAAAATCAGATGGTTTCTAAATGTGTGGTGTTATTTCTGAGGGCTCTGTTCTGTTCCATTTGTCTATATATCTGTTTTGATACCAGTACCATGCTGTTTTGGTTACTGTAGCCTTGCAGTATAGTTTGAAGTCAGGTAGCATGATGCCTCCAGCTTTACTCTTTTTGCTTAGGATTGTCTTGGCAATGCAGGCTCTTTTTTGGTTCCATATGAACTTTAAGGTAGTTTTCTCCAATTCTGTGAAGAAAGTCATTGGTAGCTTGATGGGGATGGCATTGAATCTATAAACTATCTTGGGCAGTATGGCCATTTTCATGATATTGATTCTTCCTATCCATGAGCATGGAATGTTCTTCCATTTGTTTGTGTCTTCTTTTATTTTGTTGAGCAGTAGTTTGTAGTTCTCCTTGAAGAGGTCCTTCACATCCCTTGTAAGTTGTATTCCCAGGTATTTTATTCTCTTTGAAGCAATTGTGAATGGGAGTTCACTCATGATTTGGTTCTCTGTTTGTCTGTTATTGGTGTATAGGAATGCTTACAATGTTTGCACATTGATTTTGTATCCTGAGACTTTGCTGAAGTTGCTTATCAGCTTAAGGAGATTTTGGGCTGAGACAATGGAGTTTTCTAAATATACAATCATGTCATCAGCAAACAGGGAAAATTTGACTTCCTCTTTTCCTAACTGAATACCTTTTATTTCTTTCTCTTGCCTATTGCTCTGGCCAGAACTTCCAACACTATGTTGAATAGGAGGAGTGAGAGAAGTATCCCTGTCTTATGCCAGTTTTCAAAGGGAATACTTCCAGTTTTTGCCCATCCAGTATGATATTGGCTGTGGGTCTGTCATAAATAACTCTTATTATTTTGAGATACGTTCCATCAATACCTAGTTTATTGAGAGTTTTTAGCATGAAGGGCTGTTGAATTTTGTCGAAGGCCTTTTCTGCATCTATTGAGAGAAATGTGGATTTTGTCATTGGTTTTGTATATGTAATGGATTACGTTTATTGATTTGCGTATGTTGAACCAGTCTTTCATCCCAGGGATGAAGCTGACTTGATCGTGGTGGATAAGCTTTTTGATGTGCTGCTGGATTCGGTTTGCCAGTATTTTATTGAGGATTTTCACACCGATATTCATCAGGGATATTGGTTTAAAATTCTTTTTTGTTGTGTCTCTGCCAGGCTTTGGTATCTGGATGATGCTGGCCTCATAAAATGAGTTAGGGAGGATTCCCTCTTTTTCTATTGATTGGAATAGTTTCAGAAGGAATGGTACCAGCTCCTGTTTGTACCTCTTGTAGAATTTGGCTGTGAATCTGTCTGGTCCTGGACTTTTTTTGGTTGGTAGGGTATTACTGCCTCAATTTCAGGGCCTATTATTGGTCTATTCAGAGATTCAACTTCTTGTTTTAGTCTTGGGAGGGTGTATGTGTCCAGGAATTTATCCATTTCTTCTAGATTTTCTACTTTATTTGCATAGAGGTGTTTATAGTATTCTCTGATGGTAGTTTGTATTTCAGTGGGATTGGTGGTGATATCCCCTTTATCATTTTTTATTGCATCTATTTGATTCTTCTATCTTTTCTTCTTTATTAGTCTTGCTAGCAGTCTATCAATTTTGTTGATCTTTTCAAAAAATCAGTTCCTGGATTCATTGATTTTTTGAAGGGTGTTTTGTGTCTTGATCTCCTTCAGTTCTGCTCTGATCTTAGCTATTTCTCGTCTTCTGCTAGCTTTTGAATTTGTTTGCTCTTGCTTCTTTAGTTCTTTTAATTGTGATGTTAGGGTGTCGATTTTAGATCTTGCCTGCTTTCTCTTGTGGGTATTTAGTGCCATAAATTTCCCTCTACACACTGCTTTCAATGTGTCCCAGAGATTCTGGTATGTTGTGTCTTTGTTCTCATTGTTTCAAAGAACATCTTTATATATGCCTTCATTTCGTTGTTTACCCAGTAGTCTTTCAGGGGCAGGTTGTTCATTTTCCATGTAGTTGTGCGGTTTTGAGTGAGTTTCTTAATCCTGAGTTCTAGTTTGATTGCACTGTGGTCTGAGATACAGTTTATTGTGATTTCTGTTCTTTCACATTTGCTGAGGAGTGCTTTACTTCCAACTATGTGGTCAGTTTTAGAATAAGTGCGATGTGGTGCTGAGAAGAATGTATATTCTGGTGATTTGGGGTGGAGAGTTCTGTAGATGTCTATTAGGTCCGCTTGGTGCAGAGCTGAGTTCAGGTCCTGGTTATCCTTGTTAACCTTCTGTTTCATTGATCTGTCTAATATTCACAGTGGGGTGTTAAAGTCTCCCATTATTATTGTGTGGGAGTCTAAGTCTCTTTGTAGGTCCCTCCGGACTTGCTTTATGAATCTGGGTGCTTCTGTATTGGATGCGTATATATTTAGGATAGTTGGCTCTTCTTGTTGAACTGATCCCTTTATCATTATGTAATGGCCTTCTTTGTCTCTATTGATCTTTGTTGGTTTAAACTCTGTTTTATCAGAGACCAGGATTGCAACCCCTGCTTTTTTTTGCTTTCCATTTGCTTGGTAGATCTTCCTCCATCCCTTTATTTTGAGCCTATGTGTGTCTCTGCACGTGAGGTGGATCTCCTGAATACAGCAACACTGATGGGTCTTGACTCTATCCAATTTACCAGTCTGTGTCTTTTAATTGGGGCATTTAGCCCATTTACATTTAAGGTTAATATTGATATGTGTGAATTTGATCCTGTCATTATGATGTTAGCTGGTTATTTTGCCCATTAATTGATGCAGTTTCTTCATAGCCTTGATGGTCTTTACAATTTGGCATGTTTTTGCACTGGCTGGTACCAGTTGTTCCTTTCCATGTTTAGTGCTTCCTTCAGGAGCTCTTGTAAGGCAGGCCTGGTGGTGACAAAATCTCTCAGCATTTGCTTGTGTGTGAAGGATTTTATTTCTCCTTTACTTAAGAAGCTTAGTTTGGCTGGATATGAAATTTTGGGTTGAAAATTCTTTTTTTTAAGCATGTTGAATATTGACCCCCCACTCTCTTCTGGCTTGTAGAGTTTCTGCCGAGAGATCTGCTGTTAGTCTGATGGGTTTCCCTTTGTGTGTAACCTGACCTTTCTCCTGGCTGTCCTTAACACTGTTTCCTTCATTTCAACCTTGGTGAATCTGATGATTATGTGTCTTGGGGTTGCTATTCTAGAGGAGTATCTTTGTGGTGTTGTCAGTATTTCCTGAATTTGAATGTTGGCCTGCCTTGATAGGTTGGGGAAGTTCTCCTGGATAATATCCTGAAGAGTGTTTTCCAACTTGTTTCCATTCTCCCCGTCACTTTCAGGGACACCAATCAAATGTAGATTTGGTCTTTTCACATAGTCCCATATTTCTTGGAGGCTTTGTTCATTTCTTTTTAGTCTCTTTTCTCTAAACTTCTCTTCTTGCTTTATTTCATTAATTTGATCTTCAATCACTGATACCCTTTCTTCCATTTGATCAAATTGGCTATTGAAGCTTGTACATGTGTCACAAAGTTCTCATGCCCTGGTTTTCAGCTCCATCAGTTCATTTAAGGTCTTCTCTACACTGTCTATTCTAGTTAGCCATTCGTCTAATCTTTTTTCAAGGTTTTTAGCTTCCTTGCAATGGGTTTGATCATGCCCCTTTAGCTCAGAGAAGTTTGTTTTTACCAACCTTCTGAAGCCTACTTCTGTCAACTCGTCAAAGTCATTCTCCGTCCAGCTTTGTTCTGTTGCAGGCAAGGAGCTGTGATCCTTTGGAGGAGAAGGGGTGCTTGGCTTTTAGAATTTTCAGCTTTTCTGCTCTGGTTTCCCCCCATCTTTGTGGTTTTATCTACCTTTAGTCTTTGATGTTGGTGACCTACAGATGGGGTTTTGGTGTGGATGTCCTTTTTGTTGATGTTGATGCTATTCCCTTCTGTTTGTTAGTTTTCCTTCTAACAGTCAGGTCCCTCAGCTGCAGGTCTGTTGGAGGTCCACTCCAGACCCTTTTTGCCTGGATATCACCAGTGGAGGCTGCAGAACAGCAAATATTGCTGCCTGATCCTTCCTCAGGAAGCATCATCCCAGAGGGGCACCTGCCTGTATGAGGTGTCTGTCGGCCCCTCCTGGGAGGTGTCTCCCAGTTAGGCTACATGGGGGTCAGGGACCCACTTGAGGAGGCAGTCTGTCTGTTCTCAGAGCTCAAACACCATGCTGGGGGAACCACTGCTCTCTTCAGAGCTGTCAGACGGGGACGTTTAAGTCTGCAGAATTTTCTGCTGCCTTTTGTTCAGCTATGCCCTGTCCCCAGAGGCGGAGTCTACAGGGACAGTAGGCCTTGCTGAGCTGCAGTGGGCTCTGCCCAGTTCAAGCTTCCTGGCCACTTTGTTTACCTACTTAAGCCTCAGCAATAGTGGATGCCCCTCCCCCAGCCAGACTGCTACCTTGCAGGTCTATCTCAGACTGCTGCACTAGCAGTGAGCAAGGCTCCATGGGCATGGGACCCACCGAGCCAGGCACGGGATAGAATCTTCTGGTCTTCTGGTTCCTAAGACTGTTGGAAAAGTGCAGTATTTGGGTGGAAGTGTCCCATTTTTCCAGGTACAGTCTGTTGTGGCTTCCCTTGGCTAGGAAAGGGAAATTCCCCAACCCCTTGTGCTTTCTGGGTGAGGCAATGCCCCGCCCTGCTTTGGCTTACCCTCCGTGAGCTGCACCCACTGTCCAACCAGTCCCAATGAGATGAAACAGTTACCTCAGTTGGAAATGCAGAAATCACCTGTCTTCTGCATTGATCATGCTGGGAGCTGCAGACCAGAGCTCTTCCTATTCGGCTGTCTTGGAGCCATGAATAAGTTCTTTTGTGGTGATTTCTGAGGTTTTAGTGCACCCATCACCCAAACAGTGTACACTGTACCCAATGTGTTGTCTTTTATCCCTCACCCCCTGCCCACTCTTTTCCCTGAGTCCCCAAATTCCATTGTATGATTCTTAGGCCTTGATGTCCTCATAGCTTAGCTCCCACTTATGAGTGAGAACATCAATGTTTGGTTTTCCATTCCTCAGTTATGTCACTTAGAATAATCATCTCCAATTCCATCCAGGTTGCTGTAAATGCCATTATTTCATTCCTTTTTATGGCTGAGTAGTATTTCATGGCATATATATACCACATTTTCTTTATCCTCTTGTTGATTGGTGGGCATTTCGGCTGGTTTTATATTTTTGCAATTGTGAATTGTGCTGCTATAAACATGCATGTCCAAGCATGTTTTTCATGGAATGACTTCTTTTCTTCTGGATAGATACCCAGGAGTAGGATTGCTGGATCAAATGGTAGAGCTACTTTTAGTTCTCTAAGGAATCTCCACACTGTTTTCCATAGTCGCTGTACTAGTTTACATTCCTATCAACAATGTAAAAGTGTTCCCTTTCACCACATCCACTCCAACATCTATTATTATTTGATTTTTTGATTATGGTCATTCTTGCAATAGTAAGGTGATATTGCATTGTAGTTTTGATTTGCATTTCCCTGATCATTAGCGATGTTGAGCATTTTCTCATATGTTTGTTGGCCATTTGTGTATCTTCTTTTGAGAATTGTCTATTCATGTCCTCAGCCCACTTTTTGATGGGATTGTTTGTTTTGTTCTTGCTGATTTGTTTGAGTTATTTGTAGATTCTAGATATTAGTCCTTTGTCAGACATATAGATTGCAAAGATTCTCTCCCACTCTGTGGGTTCTCTGTTTGCACTGCTGATTATTTCTTTTGCTGTGTAGAAGCTTTTTCGTTTAATTAAATCCCATCTATTTATCTTTGTTTTTGTTGTTGCATTTGCTTTTGAGTTCTTGGTCATGAAGTCTTTGCCTAAGCCAATCTCTAGAAGAGTTTTTCTGAGGTTAACTTCTATAGTTTTTATGGTTTCTGGTCTTAGATTTAAGTCTCTGGTCCACCTTAAGTTGATTTTTGTATAAGGTGAGAGGTGAGGATCCAGTTTCTTTCTTCTACATGTGGCTTGCCAATTATCTCAGCACCATTTGTTGAATAGGATGTACTTTCCCCACTTCATGTTTTTGTTTGCTTTGTTGAAAACCAGTTGGCTCTAAGTATTCGGCTTTATTTCTGGTTTCTCTATTTTGTTCCATTGGTCTATGTGCCTATTTTTATACCAGTACCATGCTGTTTCGGTGACTACACTCTTACAGTATAGTTCAAAGTCAGGTAATGGGATGACTCCAAATTTGTTCTTTTTGCTTAGCCTCACTTTGGCTATGCAGGCTCTTTTTGGTTCCATATGAATTTTAGGATTTTTTTTTCTAGTTCTGTGAAGAATGATGGTGGTATTTTGATGGGAATTGAACTGAATTTGTAGATTGCTTTTGGCAGTATGGTCATTTTTACAATATTGATTCTGCTCATCCATGAGCATGGGATGGGATGTGTTTCCATTTGTTTGTGTTGTCTATGATTTATTTCAGCAGTGTTTTGTAGTTTTCCTCGTGGAGGTCTTTCACATCCTTGGTTAGGTATAGTCCTAAGTATTTTGGGTTTTTTTTGCAGCTGTTGTAAAAGGAGTTGAGCTCTTCTTTTGATTCTCAGCTTCATTGCTGTTAATTTATAGCAGATCTACTGATTTGTGTACATTAATTTTGTATCTGGAAATTTTGCTGAATTCATTTACCAGTCCTAGTAGCTTTTTGGATGAGTCTTTAGGGTTTTCTAGTTATACAATCATGTCATCAGCAAACAGAGACAGTTTCACTTCCTTTTTACCAATTTGGATGCCCAGTATTTATTTTTCTTCCCTGATTGCTCTGGCAAGGACTTCCAGTACTATGTTGAATAGAAGTGGTGGAAGTGGGCATCCTTGTCTTGTTCAAATTCTCCGACGGAACACTTTGAGCTTTTCCCCATTCAGTATAATGTTGGCTGCATGTTTGTCATAGATACCTTTTAGTACCTTAGGGTATGTCCCTTCTATGCTGATTTTTCTGAGGGTTTTAATCATAAAGGGATGCTGGATTTTGTCAAATGCTTTTTCAGCATCTATTGAGATGATCATGTGATTTTTGTTTTAAATTCTGTTTATGCAGTGTATCATGTTTATTGACTTGTGTATGTTAAACTAACCCTGTATCCCTGGTATGAAACCCACTCGATCATGGTAGATTATCTTTTTAATATGCTGTTGGATTTGGTTAGCTAGTATTTTGTTTAGGATTTTTGCATCTATGTTCATCAGGGATATTGGTCTGTACTTTTCTTTTTTTGTTATGTTCTTTCCTGGTTTTGGTATTAGGGCAATACTGACTTCATAGAATCATTTAAGGAAGATTCCCTCTTTCTCTATCTTATGGAATAGTGTCAATAAGATTGGTACCAATTCTTCTTTGAATGTCTGATAGAATTCAGCTGTGACTCTGTCTGGTCCTGGACATTTTTTTGGTTGGCAGATTTTTTATTACCATTTCAATCTCACTGCTTGTTGTTGGTATGTTTCTGTTTCTTCCTGATTTAATCTAGGAGGGATGTATATTTCCAGGAATTTATCCATCTCCTCTAGGTTTTCTACTTTATGCACATAAAGGTGTTCAGAGTATCCTTGAATGATCTTTTATATTTCTGTAGTATTGGTTGTAATGTCTCCCATTTCATTTCTAATTGACTTTATTTGGATCTTTTTGCTTCTTTTCTTGGTTAATCTGACTAATGGTCTACCAATTTTATTTATCTTTTCAAAGGGCCAGCTTTTTCTTTCATTTATCTATTGTATCTTTTTTTATTTGTTTCAATTTCATTTAGTTCTGCTCTGATGTTTGTTATTTCTTTTCTTCTTCTGGGTTTGAGTTGGGTTTGTTCTTGTTTCTCTGTTTCCTTGAGGTGTGACCTTAGATTGTCTATTTGTGCTCTTTCAGACTTCTTGATGTAGGCATTTAATGCTATGAACTTTCCTCTTAGCACCACTTTTGCTTTATCCCAGAGGTTTTGATAAGTTGTGCCACCATTATTGTTCAGCTCAAAGAACTTTTTAATTTCCATCTTGATATCTTTGTTGACCCAGTGATCATTCAGGAGCAGGTTATTTAATTTCCATGTACTTGCATGGTTTTAAAGGTTTCTTTTGGAGTTGATTTTCAATTTTATTCCACTGTGGTCTGAGAGAGTACTTGATATAACCTATTTTCTTAAATTTGTTGAGACTTGTTTTGTGGCCTATCATATGGTCTATTTTAGAGAATGTTCCATGTGCCAATGAATAGAATGTGTATTCTGCAGTTGTTGGGTAGAATGTTCTGTAAATATCTGTTAAGTCCATTTGTTCTAGGGTATAGTTTAAGTCCATTATTTCTTTGTTGACTTTCTGTCCTGAGGACCTGTCTAGTGCTCTCAGTGGTGTATTAAGTCCCTCTCTATTATTGTGTTGCTGTCTATCTAATTTCTTAGGTCTAGTGGTAATTGTTTGATAAAGTTGGGAGCTCCAGTGTTAGGTGCGTATATATTTAGGATTGTGATATTTTCCTGTTGGACTAGTCCTTTTATCATTATATAATGTCCCTCTTTGACTTTTTTTTTTTAACTCCTTTTGCTTTAAAGTTTGTTTTTTCTGATATAAGAATAGCTACTCCTGCTCTTTTTTGGTGTCAATTTGCATGGAATATCTTTTTCCATCTCTTTACATTAAGTTTATGTGAGTCCTTATGTGTCTGGTGAGTTTCTTAAAGACACCAGATACTTGGTTTGTGAGTTCTTATCCATTCTGCCATTTTGTATCTTTTAAGTGGAGCATTTAGGCCATTTACATTTAATGTTAATATTGAGATGCAAGGTACTATTCTATTCATCGTGCTATTATAACTGATGTGGAATATACTGGTTTTATAGTTTTCTATTAAAATTCAGGTGCTTTCTGGCATCACATTAGCAATGTTTGTCAGTGGTGGGTCTATGTACACGTTCTTTTAATTTGTGGTAAAAACATGTAACATAATATTTACCAACTTAACCTTTTTTTTACATTTATAATATTAAATGTATTTGTTTAGATACAACTATCCACTCACATACATTAGGGGAGTATATACATTACTTTTTTCACTTTCAAGTTTTCAAACATTATTTTTACTTAAATTCTGCAACAACTTTTTTATTTTAATATTGATACATAATATTTTACATATTCATGGGGTACATGTCATATTTTGTTACATGGATAGAACATGTAAGGATCAAGTCAGGGTATTTGGAGTTTCCATCACCTTGAGTATTTGTAATTTCTATGTGTTGGAAACAATTCATATCCTCTCTTCTAGCTATTCTGAAGTATACAATACATTGTTGCTAACTATACTCACCTTACTGTGCTATCCAACTTTAGAACGTATACCTTCTACCTAACTGTGTGTAAGGATTCACCAACTTCTCTTCATTCCCTCTTCCTGCCCACATACCCTTCCCAGTCTCTGTTATCACTCTACTCTCTACCTCCATGATATCAACTTTTTAAGCTCCCACATGTGAGTGAGAACATGCACTATTTGTATTTCTGTGCCTATCTTATTCCACTTAACACAAAATTTCCAGTTCTATCCATGTTGATGCAATTGACAAGATTTCATTCTTTTTTTATGGGCCAATAGTATTCCATTGTGTATATATACCATATTTTCTTATGGCCAAATAGAATTCCATTGTGTATATATATCACATTTTTTCCATTCATCTATTGATGGAAACTTAGGTAATTCCATATATTTGCTATTATAAATAATGATGTAATAAACATACAATGCAGGTATCCTTTAGATATACTGATTTCATTTCCTTTGGATGAATACCCAGTAGTGGGACTGCTGGATCATAAAGTAGTTCTATTTTTAGGATTTTGAGAAATCTCCATACTATTTTCCATAGAGGTTGTACTAATTTACATTCTCACCAACATGTATAAGAGTTCTCTTTTCACAGGAACCATGTGTTACTAGTCTTGGGGTGCTCCTCAAAGCAGATACAACCTGGATGACAATGCCCAAGTCCTTTCAAAAGTCTGGAGAGCTTTCCAATAAGGACATGTTCAAACAAGCCCAGACAGTGAAGACTACAATAAATACCTAGCTCTTCAATGCCCAGACACAAAAGAACATCTACTAGCATTAACAACATCCAGGAAAACATGACCTCACCAAATGAACCAAGTAAGGCACCAGGGACCAATCCTGGAGAAACAGAGATATGTGAACTTTCAGACAGAGAATTCAAAATAGCCATGTTGAGGAAACTCGAAGAAATTCAAGATAGCACAGAGCAGGAATTCTGAATTCTATCAGATAAATTTAACAAAGAGATTGAAATAATTTCAAAGAATCAAGCAGAAATTTTGGAGCCAAAAAAAATTCAATTGGCATACTGGAGAGTCCTTTAATAGCAGAACTGATCCAGCAGAAAAAAGAATTAGTGAGCTTGAAGACAAGCCATTTGAAAAGACACAGTCAAAGCAGACAAAAATAAAAAGAATAAAAAACAACAAAGCATGCCTTATAGGATCTAGAAAATGGTCTCAAAGGGGCAAATCTACGAGTTATTAGCCTTGAAGAAGAGGTAGAGAAAGAGATAGGGGAAGAAAGTTTGTTGAAAGAGATAACAGAGAACTTCCCAAACCTAGAGAAAGATATCAATATCCAAGTACAAGAAGGTTATAGAACACCAAGCAGATTTAATCCAAAGAAGACTACCTCAAAGCATTTAATAATAAAACTTCCAAAGGTCAAACATAAAGAAATGATCCTAAAAGCAGCAAGAGAAAAGGAACAAATAACCTACAATGGAGTTCCAAAATGTCTGGCAGCAGAGTTTTCCATGGAAACCTTACAGGCCAGGAGAGAGTGGCATGACATATTTATCATGTTGAAGGCAAAAACTCTTTTACCTTAGAATAGTGTATCTGGCAAAAATATCCTTCAAACATGAAGGAGATATAAGGACTTTCCCAAAAAAACAAAAGCTGAGGAATTTCATCAACACCAGACCTGTCCTACAGGAAATGCTAAAGGGAGTACTTCAATCAAAAAAAGAAAAGGTAATTAATGAGCAATATGAAATTACCTGAATATACAAAACTCACTGGTAATAGTAAGTACGCAGAAATGTACTTGGAATATTATAACACTGTAACTGTGGTGTATAAATAACTCTTATCCTAAGTAGAAAGGCTAAACAATGAACCAATCAAAAATAGTAACTACATTAACTTTTCAAGACATGAGTAGCACATAAATAGAAATAAGAAAAGGTTAAAAAGCAGGGGGATGAAGTTAAGGCATAGAGTTCTTATTAGAGTTCTTCTTGCTTGTTTCTTTATGCAAACAGTGTTAAGTTGTTATCATGTTAAAACAATGGGTTATAAGACAGTATTTGTAAGCCTCATGGTAATCTTAAACCAAAAAACATACAATGGGCACACAAAAAATAAAAACCAACAAACTTTACAATATTACCAGAGAAAATCACCTTCACTAAAGGAAGACAGGAAGGAAAGAAAGAAGGAAGAGAAGACCACAAGACAACAAGAAAACAAATAACAAAAAGGTAAGAGTAAGTTCCTACTTACCAATAATAACATTAAATATAAATGGACTAAACTCTTCAATCAAAAGACATAGAGTGGGTGAATGGATGAAAAAACAAGACCCATTAATCTGTTGCCTACAAGAAATACACATCACTTATAAATACATACATAGACTGAAAATAAAGGGAGGGAAAAAGATATTCCATGCAAATGGAAACCAAAAAAGAGCAGGAGTAGCTATACTTATATTAGACAAAATAGATTTCAGACAAAAACTATAAGAAGAGACAAAGAAAGTCACGATATAATGATAAAGAGATCAATTCAGTAAGAGGCTAGAATAGTTTTAAATATACATGCACCTGATACTGGAGCACCCACATATATAAAGCAAATATTTTTGGAGCTAAAGAGAGAGCTAGGCCTCAATACAGTAAGAGGTGGAAACTTCAACAACTCATTTTCAGCATTGGACAGATCTTCCAGACAGAAAATCATCAAAGAAACATTGGACTTAATGTGCACTATAGACCAAATGAATCTAATAGATATTTATAGAATATTTTATCCAGTGGCTGCAGAATACACATTGTTTTCCTCAGCACATGGATCATTCTCAAGGATAGACCATATGTTAGGTTTCAGACAAAACAAGTTTAAAACATTCAAATAAATTGAAATAATATTAAGCATCTTATCTGACTACAATGGAATAAAACTAGAAATTAATAAGAGGAATTTTCGGTGGCTCACGCCTGTAATCTCAGCACTTTGGGAGGCTTAGGTGGGTGGATCACCTGAGATCAGGAGTTCAAGACCAGCCTGGCCAATATGGTGAAATCCCATCTCTACAAAAATATAAAAATTAGCTGGGCATGATGGCGGATGCCTGTAATCCCAGCTACTCGGGAGGGTGAGGCTGGAGAATTGCTTGAACCTGGAAGATAGACATTGCAGTGAGCCGAGATGGTGCCATTGCACTCCAGCCTGGGTGAGAGGGCAAGACTCCATCTCAAAAAAAGAGGAATTTTGGAAACTATACAAATACATGAAAATTAAACAATATGCTCCTGAGTTACTAGTGGGTCAATGAAAAAATTAAGAAGGAAATTGAAAAATTTCTTGAAACATATGATAATGGAAACACAACCTACCAAAACCTATAGGATATAGCAAAAGCAGTACTAAAAGGGAATTTTATAGGTATAAGTGTCTCCATCAAAAAAAAAAGAGGAAAAACTTCAAATAAACAACCTAATGATGAATCTTAAAGAAAAGCAGGAGCAAACCAAACCCAAAATTGGTAGAAGAAAAGAAATAAGAAAGATCAGAGCAGAAATGAATGAAACTGAAATGAAAAAAGGAATACAAAAGATCAATAAAATAAAAAATTCCTTTTTTGAAAAGCTATCAAAATTGACAAACCTTTAGGCAGACTAAGAAAAAAAAGAGAGAAGATACAAATAAAATCAGAAAAGAAAAAGATGATATTACAACTGATACTGCAGAAATTCAAAGGATCATTAGTGGCTACTATGAGCAAATATATGCAAATGAATTGGAAAATCTAAATGGTCAAGTTCCCAGACACTACAACCTACCAAGACTGAACCAGGAAGAAATCTAAAACCTGAACAGATCAATAACAAATAATGAGATTGAAGCCTTAATTAAAAGTCTCTCAGTAAAGAAAAGCCTGGGATCCAATGGCTTCACTGCTGAATTTTACCAAACATTAAAGAAGAACTAATATCAACCCTTCTCAAATTATTCTGAAAACTACAGGAGGAGGAAATAGTTCCAAACCCATTCTATGAGACTGGTATTACCCTAATACCAAAACCAAATACCAAAACTATACCTCAACATAGTAATAGCCATATATGACAGACCCACAGCTAGTAATCATACTGAATGGGGAAAACTGAAAGCCTTTCCTCTAAGATCTAGAACATGACAAAGATGCCCACATTCAGTACTGTTATTTAACATAGTACTGGAAGTGCTAGCTAGAGAAATCAGACAAGAGAAAGATGTAAAGGGCATCCAAATTGGAAAGGAGGAAGTCAAATTATCCTTGTTTGCTGATTATATTATCTTATATTTGAAAAACCCTAAAGACTCCACCAAAAAACCTATTAGAACTGATAAATTCAGTAAAGTTGGAGGATACAAAAGCAACATACAAAAATCAGTAGAATTTCTATATGCCAACAGCGAACAATCTGAAAAAGAAATCCAAAAAGTAATCCCATTTACAATAGCCACACATAAAATTAAATACCTAGGAGTTTAACATAACCAAAGAAGTTAAAGATCTCTACTATGAACATTATAAAACATGGATGCAAGAAACTGAAAAGGACACAAAATAATGGAAAGATATTATATGTTCATGGATTGAAAGAATCAATATTGTTAAAATGTCCATAGTACCCAAAGCAATCTACAAGTTCGATGGAATCCCTATCAAAATACCAATGGCATTCTTCACAGAAATAGAAAAAAGAATCATGAAATTCATATGGAACCACAAAAGTCCCAGAATAGCCAAACCTATCTTAAGCAAAAAGAACAAAACTGAAGGAATCACATTACCTGACTTCAAATTATACTAGAGTTATAGTAACTCAAACAGCAGTGGTACTGGCATAAAAATAGACACACAGGCCAATAAACAGATTAGAGAACCCAGAAACAAATCCACACACCTACAGTGAACTTATTTTTGACAAAGATGCCAAGAACACATTGGGGAAAAGATAGTCTTTTCAATAAATGCTACTGGGAAAACTGGCTATCCATATGCAGAAGAATGAAACTAGACCCCCGTCTCTCACCATATGCAAAAATAAAATCAAAATTGATTTAAGATTCAAATCTAAGACCTCAAACTATGAAACTACTACAGGAAACTCTCCAGGACATTAGAGAAACTCTCTGGGACATTGCACTGGGAAAAGATTTCTTGAGTAATACCCCATAAGTACAGGCAACCTAAGCAAAAATTGACAAACGGGATCAAAACAAGTTAAAAAGCTTCTGCACAGCAAAGGATACAACTAACAAAGCAAAGAGACAATCCACAGAATGGTAGAAAATATTTGCAAACTACCCATCTCACAAGGAATTAATAACCAGAATATATAAGGAGCCCAAACAATTCTGTAGGAAAAAATTTAATAATCCAATAAAAAATGGGAAAATATTTGAATAGAAATTTCTCAAAAGAAGACATACAACTGGCAAACAGGCATATGAAAAGGTGCTCAACATTATTGATCATCAGAGAAATACAAATCAAAACTACAATGAGATATCATCTCACCCCAGTTAAAATGGCTTATATCAAAAAAAAAAAAAGAGAAAATAAACAGGCAATAACAAATGCTGGCGAGGATGTGGAGAAGAGGGAACTCTCATACACTGCTGGTGGGAATGTAAATTAGTACAACCTCTATGGAGAACAGTTTGGACATTCCTCAAAAAACTAAAAATCGAGCTATCATATGATCCAGCAATTCCACTATTGGGTATATATCCAAAAGAGATGAACTCAGTCTATCGAAGAGGTATTTGCACTTCATGTTTGTTGCAGCATTATTCACAATAGCTAAGATTTGGCAGCAACCTAAGTGTTCATCAACAGACAAACGGATAAAGGAAATATGGTACGTATATGCAATGGAGTACTATTTAGCCGTAAAAAGAATGAGATTCTATCATTTGCAACAACATGGATGGAACTCGAGATCATTATGGTAAGTGAAATAATCCGGGCACAGAAAGACAAACATTACATGTTCTCACTTATTTGTGGAATCTAAAAATCAAAACAATTGAACGCATAAACATAGAGAATAGAAGGACAGTTACTAGAGGCTGGGAAGGGTTGTGGGGATTAGGGGTACATGTGGATGGTTAATGGGTACAAAAGAAATAGCAAGAATGGATAAGGCCTACTATTTGATAGCACAACAGGGTGACTATAGTCAATAATAACTTAATTGTACGTTTTAAAAATAACTAAAATGACGTAATTGGATTATTTGCAATACAAATGATAAAAGCTGGAGGGGATGGATACTACATTCTCCATTATGTGATTATTGTGCATTGCATGCCTATATCAAAACATCTCATGTATCCCATAAATATATATGCCTACTATGTACCCACAAAATTAATAAAATAAACTAATAAGCCAAAAAATGTTCCCCTTTCCCCACATTCTTGCCAACATCTCGTTTTTCATCTTTTTAATAATAGTCATTATAACTGGGGTAAGACGATATCTCATTGTGGTTTTGATTTGCATTTCCCTGATGATTAGTGATGTTGAGCATGTTTTCACATACCTGTTGGCCATTTGTATGTCTTCTTTTGAGAAATGTCTATTGATGTTCGCCCAATTTTTGATAGGATTATTTTTAATTAATTTATTAATTTATTAATTTTTTTTGAGATGGAGTCTTGCTCTGTCACCCAGGCTGGAATGCAGTGGTGCAATCTCGGCTCACTGCAACCTCTGCATCCCGGGTTCAAGCGATTTTCCTGCCTCAGCCTCCTGAGTATCTGGGATTACAGGCATGCGCCACCATGCCTGGCTAATTTTGGTCCCCAAGCATCTCCCTATGTTGGTTTTAGGGCCCACGTGGGTCAAAGGACTCTCCCTTGGCTTGGTTTGCAGTAGCCTGTGGTGGGAATGTGCACTGCTAGAGGTCTCTCACCCTTTTCCCAACCAGGAAGTCTCTCTGGGCTTCCAGTCAATCCTGGCTGAGCAGGCTGCCTCACTTCTCTCTCCTTCCTTATTCTAATGTTTCCTGACACTTCTCTGTTGAATTCCAGTATTCTCTCTTAGATCATTTATTTGAAGTGTGGTTATCTACTCGCTATGTTTGTTCTTCTTTGTGGAAGAGGTGAGTAGCAAAGTAGCTAGTCAGCCATCTTGAAGCTGCTTTCTCAGCAATCTCTCCCAACCATGTTGAAGTATACAGTTTAGGGGTATTCACATTCTTGTGAAACAGATCTCCAGAACTTTGTCATCTTATAAATCTGAAACTCTATACCCTTTGAACAACCATTCCCCTTTTCCTCCTCCCCCACCCCCTGGTAACCGCCAATCTAATTTCTGCTTCTCTGCATTTGACTACTTTAGATACCTCATGTAAGCGGAATCGCACGTTATTTGTCTTTTAGGGACTGGCTTATTTAACTTAGCATAATGTGATCAAGGTTCATCCATGTCGCAGCATATGACAGAAATTCATTTCTTTTTAAGGCTGAATACAGCTGTTTTCTTTTCCATGAAACATTTCAATTATAAAGGGAGGTATTAAAAAATCTTAAATTTTTTTTACAGTAACGAATGATAATTATGAACTACCTGAAACTTTCTTTGACCCAGGTATATATAAACTGGGGTAATAGGACATTATGAGTAGGCACATCTTGTTAAACAAAACAAGTGATTTCTTTTTTCCATTCTTTGGTTAGTAGTTCTATAATAGTGTTTGGTAGAGATGACAAAAATATAAAATATCTGAAATAGACAATATTCTTTATAATTTATTTAAAAATTATTTCATACTGTTTTCACATAGTAACTGCTAAACCAATAATAAAATAGATATCTCTATATAATTACATAAAAATACAATTAAGCAGAACACAGAAGGAAGATCATACTTTATAGGAAGATAATATTTTTGTAATAAGCATATGGGGAGATATAAACTGTTAGGCTTCATTCCTGTTGTTAACTCACACAAATGTGAGAAACAAAAACTGCTTTGAAATACCACTTCTTATTATACTTAAAAAAACATGGCCGGGCGCGGTGGCTCACGCCTGTAATCCCAGCACTTTGGGAGGCCGAGGCGGGTGGATCATGAGGTCAGGAGATCGAGACCATCCTGGCTAACAAGGTGAAACCCCGTCTCTACTAAAAATACAAAAAAGTAGCCGGGCGCGGTGGCGGGCGCCTGTAGTCCCAGCTACTCGGGAGGCTGAGGCAGGAGAATGGCGTGAACCCGGGAAGCGGAGCTTGCAGTGAGCCGAGATTGCGCCACTGCAGTCCGCAGTCCGGCCTGGGCGACAGAGCGAGACTCCGTCTCAAAAAAAAAAAAAAAAAAAAAAAAAAAACATATTGAGTATAAAGTCAAAATAATCTGATAAATCAATGACTTGTCACCTAATACTCTCAATTATAAACTTTATTGCACTTATGGCTATAATAATTTCACTGAACAAGCACAGAATAGAATTCAACTGCAAGGCCTCTTTCTCTCCTACTTTTATCTTCCTTTAAACTCATCCCATTTTCCCCTTACTATACTTCCTTTCTTTCAAAAGGGAGCCACAGAAAAGATTTTTTCTGGAGGAGCAAAATTACTTCCCAGGATTAATACAGGAATATACGAATTCAATAATAATAGCTTTAAAAGATGACGTTTAGATATATTAGAAGACAATCCAAATGTGAAATCCTGTAATTTTATAAGATGTTGTATCTAGTTTATTGGATTAATTTATTTTTAACTTTCCATTTTTGCATCTTGTCTAATGAAGCACAGTTATGCAGATTTAGTACACAGACCACCACTTAGCTGAAGGAATAAAGTCAACTGTTGCCTTATGTTGATTGTTATAGTAACCTGTTTAAAGATCAGATTAGATGGAATGTCCAGTTCTCATAAAATTTTCCTACCATTTTCTAAATGGTCTTCATAGAATTTTTAGAAATTACTTCAACCAAATCTTAAAAACACTTGGTTTATGATTATACTGGCCAACTAAAGTACATTTTTTAAAAATAAAATGTGTTATTTGGCAGGCAGCTGTCTACATGGCCATTTATGTATTTTTATTTAAAGAAAAAATGTAAGAGATTTCCTAATGTGGCCTCCTCTGCACCCCAAGCTTTTACTCTTTGAAAAATGCATGAGTACTTTCCTTTGGAAATCATGTAGCCTACACATATTTTATAAAAATCACAGAATGTGGGAGTATGGACAATTTATTATATATCTGAGAACATCAGAAAACATGAAGTTTGATGTCATATGGTCTAAAATAGCCCATGATGTAAGGCTTCTGGGCCTGGTGTGGTGGCTTATGCCTATAGTTCCAGGGCTTTGAGAGACAGAGAGGGGAAGATCACTTGAGGTAGGGAGTTCAAGTCCAGCCTGGGCAACATAGTGAGACCCCATCTCTACAAAAACATTTTAAAAATTAACCAGGTGTGGTGGCACACAACTGTAGTTCTAGCTAGGTGGGAGAATCACTTGAGACAAGGAGTTCAAGTCCAGCCTGGGCAACATAGTGAGACCTCATCTTTACAAAAAAATTAAAAAAAATTAACCAGGTGTGGTGGCATGCACCTGTAGTTCTAGCTACTCAGGAGGCTGAGGTGGGAGTATTGCTTGAGCCTATGAGTTTGAGGTTACATTGAACTATGATCATGCCACTGCACTACATTCCAGGCAACAGAGCAAGACCCTGTTTCTAAAATGAAAAAAAAAAAAAAAAAAAAAAAAAAAAAAAAAATTATATATATATATATATATATATATATATATATATATATATATATATGGTTTCTCCCAGACGTTCTTAGACTGCCCAACCATGCAATTCTCTTTGTTGTCTTTTTCTTTCATTGGCAGCTATTTAATCAATTGTGTTCGTTAACTGTCCACTTGATGAAATAACACTGTAGTAGGCATACAGGGAGTTATAAAGGGAGACTTCATATTATATCATAATATCTTCAATGTCTTTATAATCTAATATCAGGCAGTGATAGGAAGGAAATAATAAATATCTATAATTGTCCTTGGCAGAGAGGGTACTAGAGCATGTTCTGTTTTCTTATTTTGTGTGTGTGTATCAATACAATGAAAAAATTTTAAAGTAACACATTATATGAGCTAATGAGCTTTGGGGTAAAGATTGCTGGAATTAGTTTTGAGCCTAATTTTGGAAGAAAGATGGATTCTGATTGGGAAAACATGGCAAGCATGTGACTTGAACCAAGAGGATGGCAAGCAATTGTCTGAACATGGAGCCATTTGGTATAGGACCTGAATATGTATGAGTAGAAATTTGATTCTGGTTTAGGAGGAAGACTGAAAACCACTACAAGCAGAGGTGTGACTAAAGTTATAGTTCAGGAGAATGCTTTTTTTTGACTATAATTAGATAAATTGAATGAGGAAAGTTGACACAATTGTGGATAGTAAAGGCAATTAAAATTGGGACTTGGGCTACAGCTACAACAAAATTAAATTAAAAATTTCAGATGACCTCCTGGGGCTATGTGACTCCACTCAACTTAACATCCAAATGTTGTATTTAAAAAATCCTTTAAAAAATTTCTGAACATTTCTTCCTGTTGTCATAGATACTTCAAGACTGAAAGGAGAAAAAAATAATTCAAAGGGAACACGAGATGGCAGCAGTTATATCATATAAAGAGAAAGATTGGGGAAAGAAAAACATTTGAAATTATTTTTAAAATAAAAAAATATGTAGCACCTTATCCTTTATGTGCTGTATTCCTTTTCAGTACAGAGATTACTCAGTCATTGGTTTCATGCTTCACAGCACATATGAGGTTCATTCTGACTATGGTAAAAAATCCTACTCCATTACATGGGATTGTTTCCTAAAATAAAGCTGTTGCTGTTTTCTGCAGATTACTGTTCCTCTATGTTATCTGAGGCAGAAGAGTTCTGTGGGGTGCAAATTTGTTTTAAGTGCTCCAGTATTGCTTTTTCTTCCTCTTCTAGTGTTTCATCCTTCTTCATTTCCCACCTAAAAGAAAAATCACATCTTAGCATTTTTGTAACTTTCAAACCACAGGTCAACACTCAGTTAATCAAGTCTTGAATATGTAATCTTGGCTTATTGAGTCATCTGTCTCTCCCTGTTTATTCTTCACTGACTGCCTCTTGGGTAATACAATTCATTGGCACTGCCCCCGCGGAGTGGGCCAGGAGAGTGGGAGACAAAAGTAGAGTGAAATCAGCTCCACTTCAGGATAAAGTTTTTAAAGAATTGTTTCAAATGAGGTTTCTGTATTTCAAGAATGTATGTGGCCTATGAAAATACACATATAAATAAAATCTAGAATTAGCAACTAATAAGCAAATATTTTTCATAGCATTTTTTCCCTCACTGATTAACCAGATTAGTGGTTGTAAGTTGCAGGGAGGCTTGCCAGGAAGCCTTTAGCAGAAAGAAGAACATCGAGGTTACTTGGATATACCTTAAGGGCAGGTCAGTGTATTTCTTGAAATAAGATCAGATTTGAAGCAATCAAGTTCAACCACTCTAGAAAAGTGGCAAATTGTTAGCAAGGTTCCAAAGAACATTTACTAAAAAAAGAGATTAAAGACTTTCTAATTCTGGATGATTAAGCGATACAGAATAAAATCTTAGACTCTCAACCTACATACATACAAATATAATCTTGCAAAGTAAATATCATCACAATAACCCGAGCACACTTACTTCTTCCTTCCTATCCACTCTCTCCACCTCCCCAGGACTGCCCAGGACTGCCCAGAGTATACTGAACCCAGCATTCTAACAGTTTCCTTCTCCTATCCTCACTCTTATTTCTATCCCTACCTAAGCTGTCCACCATAATGTACTGTTACAAAAGGATTTTAAAGCCAGTGCTGATACAGTCTAAAAGATCCTCTGCCATAAAGGCTTCAGCAGGATAGGATTTCTAATAACAAACAAGCAGCTACTCACTGAATGTCCTCCAGAACCAGAACCCCTCATTGTGTTATAATCCAAACTCCCAGACAACAAATAGTCTGTCACACATGAATTTAGGGTGGAATTTTCTGGTTTTGTTTGAGTGATGAAAAGAAAGCAACTGTATTTTCTTTCTTTTTTTTTTTTTTTTTTTTTTGAGACAGGGTCTCCCTCTGTTACCCAGGCTGGAGTGCAGTGGCACAACTATGGCTCACTGCGGGCTTGACCTCTTGAGATCAAGTGATCTTCCTGCCTCAGCCTCCCAAGTAGCTGGGGCTATAGGTGCACACCACCATGCCTGGCCAATTTTTTTAATTTTTTGTAGAGACAGGGTCTCCCCTATGTTGCCCAGGCTCATCTTGACCTCCTGGGCTGAAGTGATCCTCCTGCCTCAGCCTCCCAAAGTGCTGGGAATACAGATGTGAGCCACTAGTATGATATCTGTTCCCATACTAGTTTCCTTTTTGGAGTGCTGAGTTCAGTATGCCCTGGCCAGTCCTGGCAGTCATATATATGAGAGGAAGAAGGAGGGGAAGTATGGAGAGAAGAAAGAGGATTATCTGAAAAGTGACACCTGGTTTCAATTTATATTTCTGCTTCACCCTCTGCCTACGATTCTCCTCATTTCCTAGCCTCAAACTTGTCTGGATCTAAAAACTGCTATTTTTGGCTGCCTTAGTTTCTCCACGTTTCCATATGGTTGAAGTTAGGTCATTGGTCTAACAGGTTTTAATAACAACATGAATGATAAAAAGTTTTTCACTGCCACACTATTCAAAGCCACATCACAAGGGAAGTCAGTATTTTGGGTTTTACAATTTAGCCCACAAGATTTTCTTACACTGCTTTCATGGAATTTTAATGATAAAAAGCTCTCCCTACCCATTTTATGTGGGTGAAATTGGGTATCGCTAATATTCATGTCAAATTGAGCTCCTCCCAAGCAGGAAAATAAATAATGGAAAATACTTTTATATAGCATTAACTAATGGTTAAGCATTCTTTTAAACACTTGAGATATCACTCTTTAAATTCTCAATTTAAAAAGTTATTATTGCTGTTCTACAGATTACTAAACTGAGGTACAGAATGTTAAAATCACTTGCCTGAGTATCTTTGTATTTGAACTCAGAGAGTCAGAATCTGGAATCTGGGCTTTCAAATGCAATTAACAATCGTGGCTTAAAAACCATTTACAGCTAATATAAAGTACTGTCAAAAAGTTTAAATATTTTACTTTCCAAAAAATATTGCCCAAATTGTGCTAGATATTACATAAAAGAACCATCTAAGGATCATATAATCTTAAATCCAAACATGAGAAATTAGATTTGCCTTTTTTCCTTCCCATGTAAAGGTGCTAATATTGTCTGAGTAAATGAATTATTTTATGAATGTCAACAGAATAAAGTACGTGATATGCACATAAATATTTTGATCATTGTGTCTACTTGTGAAAATTGAAAGTAGTCTCTCTGCTTCATTAAAATCTGTATAATTAATGTAATTTAAATGAATCATATACATAATAGAATCCATGATAAGGATTTTTGAAGCTTCATGACAATTATAGGCACTTCACAGTATAATTGAGCTGTTAGTAATTAATGATATTAGGTAAAGTTATTTACCTACCACAACTTTATTATATTTGCTTTGTGCTTATTAAGAAGAAATCATTTCATAAGAGGATAAAAAATGATGACAAAAATGGATGAAAAAATATTAGAACTACATTTTCCTTAATAGTTTTACTCATATTGAATGAAAGCATTAGAGATTTGAAATGTGTATTTATCACAAACATTGTTATATTTCACATCTATAAGTTCTTAACGAAGTTTTTCTTTAATTCCATCATGGTTTTGGGTTTTGTTAACACAATGCAAAAACAACAAGTCAATTCTGTTAAAAAAAAAATACTGAAAGAGAAAAGAATCTACCAATTTGTTAAACATAATTGGATGGACAATCTGTTAAAAATCTTTATTCCTAATTTCCCCTAATATATTTAATATCTGTGGTGGAAAAAGCATATCCCTACAGAAACCAGAAAATGTTGGAAGCAGCATATTCTGGTTCCTCCAGAAAAGCATTATGAGGTAATTATATTTTTGTTTTTCCTAATTTTGGTAGCCTGCCCTTTTGTATTATTGCTGAATTCCCCCACCTGCCTACTATTATAGAAGAATTGCAACCTGGCCCCACAGCTGGTGGCAATGACTATGCTGTGTCTTACACACTGATTAGCAGTCAAGTCTCATGAGACTCCACTGATCTGTACCATGATATTAACTGTCTTCTGGAATTGGCTCCATCTGTATGGCTCCTAGGTGGTTAGATATGGGTCCCTTTTCCTAGGCAAGCACAGTAGGGACTCTAAAGCCTAGACTGAGATACTCTAACAGAATCAGCAGTTACAACTTTGCTCATTTGTACCACTCTGATTGACTTGGTTGTTCTTAGCTTGGATGCATGTTCCTGAATTTACACACATATTCATTCCTCAAGCAGAGATATCTGCCTGCTACTCTGTATATTTTATTAATATTAGCACATATTATAGAGCTTTTCCATGTGCCATACCATGAGCTAAGACCTTTCTGTTTTTGCTCACCGACAATGAGACCTTGAGGTGTGAAAAATAAAAACAGTCACAGATCAGTGAATAACTATTCTAGTGATCAGTTTTATAGAATCTTATATTTGGGGAGGTTTCAAGGATGACTGTGTGTTAGAGTCAACCAGGAGAGCCTCTCTTAGGGACATGCATAGTAAAACATGAGGTATATCCTTGGTAGCATTGGTCCAGGCTGTCACAGAAGCAAATCTTGGGTGGCCTGTACTGCAGGAAGGAGCAGCCAACACCAGACAGATGAGGAGGGCCAGAGTCTGGAGTGTGAGGTGTTTGAGGCATTTACCCTTCCTTTTACTAGGAGAAAAACATTTAAAATATCTGAAATCAATAGTGTTCTGAATAAGAGCACAGGCCCTAGAATCACTCTGCCTTTGTGTTGAATATGAATGTAAACTTCCTAGATGAATCACCCCAGGCAAGTTTTTTAACCCCTTGGTGCTTCGGGGTTCTTTCTCATGTATAAATATGGTCACATTGGAACACAGGCCCCCTTATTTGTTTATGTACTGTCAATGACTGATCTCACTCAATAATGTCAGAGTTTAGTAGTTGCAATCGAGACAGACTAAGACTGCATGTCCTGTAAAGCCTAAAATATTTACTATTTGGACTTTTTTTGGAGGAAGTTTGCCAAATTTGCGCTAGAATGATAGTTCTTAACTGGGGTGACACTGCCTCCGTATGGGGAAACATGGAGGGTATTTTTGGCTGACACTACACTATGTCTAGAGAGTACTTCTCCTAGGACCTAGACAACACAGATGGCAACATGTTTATGTGCAACAATCCCACACAATGAAGAGTTGTCTTCCCAAAATGTCAATATATCCTACTGAGAAACATTGGCTTTAGAATCTCCAAATAATATTGAATAAGAATAGGTATACTAAAATAGGAAGAATCCCTAGCTAATTTCTGATTTTTAATTGAAATAGTTTTAGTCTTTCACTGTTTAGAATACTATTTGCTGCAGAATGAGGGTTTAGAAGTTAGGGTGCTGGATTTAAATCCCTTATAAGCAGTGTGGCCTTGGGCAACCCAGATAAAACAGTGCCTCAGTTTCCTTATCTATGGAATGGTAATAATAATAGTGCCTGCTTCACAGAGTTGGAATGAGGTAGAAGAGATTAAACACACATAAAACATAAAATAATGCCTCGTTTATAGCAAGCACTCAACAAGTGATAACTATTATGATGATGATTATTATTATTTGGCATATTGGTTAAGGTTGCAAGTAGGAGAAGTCCTGGGTGTGGTCAGTTACACAAATAGGGGATAATTGTCCTCATCTAATAAGAATGCAGAGGTGGGTGATTGCTGGCATAGGTTAAGTAGTTTAACAACAGCAGGGCTGATGACTCTGTGGTTCTCTTGTCCTTTACCTCATGGTCCCAATACAGTTGTTGCAGCTTCAGCCTTCCTGTCCTCGTGCTGAGGCAGGAGGAAAGAGTATGGCTCCACCTGTCTTGTTTTATCGGGATAATAAAACCTCTCCCAGATTCCTCCCAGTAGACATGGGAGCCATCCTGTCTAGGCTTGAATCCTGACTCTGCCACTTACTAGCTGTGTGATATTGAACATATTTCTTAATCTCTCTGTGCATCAGTTCTCTTATATGCAACATAGGGGGTGCTAGTGGTATACATCTCAATGCATTGTTGTAAATAGTGGATGAGCTATAAATTTAAGTCCTTCATAGAACGTTACTCTTATTTTGTAAGATTCTACTTGTGTCAAGTGGTTTCCTCAGAGCTCCTACCTTGATGTGCTTTCTCACGTTCTGTGTCTTTCACATTGTTTTATCTGGTAAATTATCTTTTCTATCAATCAATCAATAATATAATATTGCAATAAATACATTCCAATAAATAAATATTGCATATATGTATATATGTATATGTATATGATCGTGTTGTCATTCCCTCTTGTTTTTCATGAGGGAAATGTTTCATGCTAGTCTACTACTCTGTTCACCCTAGCATGGCCAAGGTTGTTTTTGTTTTCCTATAATCACTTTGCTGTATTTTTCAAACACAGACTGTAATAATGGCATTTGATCATATTTTTGGTATTTCTCCTGCGATAACCAATAAAATACTTGAATATAAAAATGTAACTTAAGCCTCCTGTTTAATGTTATTATGAAACATTTATGTAGCACTTTATATTTACAAAGTGCTTTACAATTATTTATTAGTTAATTGTAGTGTTAAACAACATTAGTCATCTGGCCAAATAAATGATTTCAAATTGTTCTACCAATATATAGCTGAGGAGTGAAGAGTAAAGTCATATTGGATTTTATTCAAGAAAAATCCTTGTTGTCTGTCTCTCCTCCACATTGCACAGTGCAGACTGGTTTTTCAGAGGGAGGTTCAAATCAGAGGGGAAAGTAATGTCTCTGTTACCTTCTTTCTGCTGTTCTGTACATGTGAGCTTTTCTCAGGGTCAGTCCTAGACCATCTTCTCTTCTCCCTTGGAAAGCCCCACATATCCAGTTGTTTTCTCACATCTGTAATTCAGCTCTGTCCCAAGCTGTATGTAATTCAGCATCTTTAAACTTTGTTTTTGTCCTAAGTTCTCTCAATTCAATTCTTGATGGCCATTTTTACTCACACTCCAATTATATCAATATTAAATATATATACTGTATTCATATATGTACATATATGAATACAGTAATATATGTATACAGTATACATATGTATACAGTATATATGTATATAGTACATTTCTGTATATATCTGCATATCTGTATATAGTACATATCTGTATACTGTATATATACACATATATGCATCAGTATATATAATATACATACATATATGTATGTTAAGTATAAATACTGTATGTGTATATATTAAATATATACTGTATGTATGTATATTTAATATATACATATTAAATATATACTGTATGTGTGTATATTAAATATATACTGTATGTATGTATATTTACTATATACATGTATGTATATTTAATATATAATATATGTCTGTATATTTAAATTATTCAAACTGACCATTACCCCCTTCTCCCTCAATAACACAGAGTCCAAACAGTGAAGAGTAAAGTCATATTGGATTTTATTCTTCAAGAAAAATCCTTGTTGTCTGTCTCTCCACATTGTACAGTGCAGACTGGTTTTTCAGAGGGAGGTTCAAATCAGAGGGGAAAGTAATGTCTCTGTTTCCTTCTTTCTGCTGTTCTGTACATGTGAGCTTTTCTCAGGATCAGTCCTAGACCATCTTCTCTTCTCCCTTGGAAAGCCCCACATATCCAATTGTTGTTCACAAAGTATTTTATGCCACGACTCCCAATCTTGTTCACACAGTCTGTCACCAGTTAAGAGACAACTTACTCTGCAAACATTCTCACATTCATGCATACCCCACTGCCATTAGTCCACAGGTACACATGATTTCAGTGTCTGGACAGTGCGATAATCTCCAGATATCCAGATCCAAAGACTCACGCTACTGCTACATCAAACCAGCAATGACTGCCCTGCCTAGAGAGTTTAAAGTCTTTATTGTTCTAGCTTGGTAGCAGCAGTTCTGTTTAGCTGCTACTACCTCCCCTAGGGAGAAAATTATTTTCCTTATTTTCTCACGCATTGTGTTTTCCCAGTTGTGTTTGCACTTCTACTTTTGCTGTTCCACCCACATGAAATGCCTTTCCACCTACCCCAAACCTGCTCATCCTTCTTCAGACCCAGTCTACAGCCCACCTTTTTCATGGAGAACTTCCCAACTACCTAAGACTAATGTGTGATCATCCTTTTCCTTTGAGTCCTATAGTATCTAATGTCTGTGCTTATGGATATTAGGTCAATTTTGGTCAATTAACCACATACTGCTTTGTTACATCTTTTCTATTACTTTCTTGAGCTGTTATTTCATTGTTGCATTAAATTTTTTTTCACATGTATCTTTTCATCTATACTTGCAGTTTGTTGAAGAAGACTTCGTTATCTGTAGCTTTTGTTTCAAATATTTTATTTGAAATAACATATTTTCTTTTTCAAATAGAAAAGAGATGGATTTATTTTTATGAGCCTCAGGAATGTTTTTGAACATATTTATCAACTATTAACAGTTTTCTCTTATAATATGACAAATGCAAAAACAAACACACAGAAATTGACCTTTTCACATTCATGTCATCTTTGTTATCATTTGCTTTTAATAAACATGGCAGAGTGAGGATATTTTAAATGCTGCTGCTCAAGTTATGTTGTTAGAAGCAAGAAAATGCCACCCAAGCTGAGGCCACTTAATTCAGCTTTTAGTAAGCATTGGAAAGTGTAGGAAGAGTGGATTCTTCTGTTCTTGATTCAGCCTCTAAATGACACCAGTATGGCTTGCCCTGCATACAATCTCTGCTTCGTCTTATTTCTCAGCATTTACATCCTTCTTAACTTGATACTTTTAAAGAATCTATAGGTTACTTATCATTTCCAGAGATATAAATGATAAGGATAGAGAAGGGTAGGACACAGGACATCTGGAATAGATGGTTACTTTTCTATGAAAACTTTCTCCAGGGAACGCAATTGGAAGCAAATTCAGAAAGTATTTGGTTATGATTTTTTTTTAGAATCATGGTCTCACTCTGTTGCCCAGGCTGGAGTGCAGTGGCATGATCATAGTTCATTATAGCCTCAAACTGCTGGGTTCCAGCGATTGTCCTGCCTCAGCCTCCCAGGTAGCTAGGACTACAGGTGTGCACCACCGTGGCCACCTATTTTTTTTTTAAGCATTTTTCTGTAGAGAAGAGGTCTCACTTTGTTGCCCAGGCTGGCCTCAAGCAATCCTCCTGCCTTGGCATCCCAAAGCATTGGGATTATAAGTGTCAGCTACCATTCCTGGTCTGGTTATGCTATTTAATGATCACAGAATAATAACATTACTTGGCTCTCCATGATTCAGAGAAATTGCAGATAGATGTCATGTTATTTCTTCTCCCAAACAAAAAAACAAACCTGTTCTGTCCCCTACTCAAGTGCTTCCCACCCCTTACAATGTACAAATATCTTAGTTTGGCTCAAGTAGCATATTTCAAATAACTAATAGTTTAGTGTTTTGTACACTGTAATCTGTACCTTTTAAGCACTGGCAAGATATCTGTTGATTGGTATGTGTTAGAAGTTCAAGTGTTACTATGTTATTCTTGGGTGGAATGAAGAAATAATAACTTTTCACTACCAGTATTGAGTAGTAGCTGATATCTCAAAAGGTATTATTTGTCAATTTTATGAATGATGAATATGATGGCTCTTAGAGCATTAAAATCAATTTACCCATCCTTAGTTTTTGTATCACTATTTGTTTCTTAAAGTCTAAAATTCAGTGACCTTACCAAAAGGCAACAACTTCCTGCAAGTTCATTTATTTACTAACTATACTCACAACCTTTTTAAAAATGAGATAGTGGTATAAAGAAAAAAGATATTCAGTAATTTCAGTTATTTGGTACCTGACTAGTATTTTTGACCAATGTAAAAAGGCTTTAAACAAACTTTGCTTAGCAAAGTACTTAATTTAGGTCACATATCACACTGGAATGAGACCTTTTGTAGGTCACTATTTAAACATTTAATTTCTGGTGATGTGACACCAAAAACTAAATGTTTAATTTAATTTGATTGATCCCAATAACCTTTTCCTTCTTCCGACTTTCTTTACCACCACTTTTTTCTTTAGTATGTAACTTTATATCATCATCTCACTTGGGTCTCTGGTTGTTGATTGCCTTGCTTCTTCTATCAGTTTAGGAGCTCCTCAAAGGCATAGAGTAGAACTATCAAAAAAGGGCTGTCATTTTAATTATCATAACCAGCTTTGATGTAAAGAGGATGTTATTATAGTTAATTCTGAGAAACTGTATAAATCAGCAAAGCCCTCTTAATTTAGTCATCAGTAAAATATAACCATTCACGTTTCCATTCTGGTTAATGTAATTAACTGAGTATAACAATATTTAGGTCCTCAATTTTTAAGGGATCAAAATACATAATACTAACTAAATCAATTTAAATTTATCTTTCATGACTCAGACAACACTTTCAGATTATACCATTTCTTAAAATATGGTGTTGTATATATAGAATAAATAGAAGACTGACCCAAATGAGCATAAACTCTGGGAAACTGTCTCAATAAATGGTAATGGTAGGAAATTAATTGTAATGGACTCTTGTTATAAGAATGAAATTAGAAGGCCTTAAAAATTACTTGTTATATTGAACTTTAGCATGTATAGCTTATGTTTTGAGAGATCAACCTTAGTTTGTATTCTATTTAATATGTATCACAATGAGTCACATTTTAGAACAGAGTTTTGCCATATGTAATTAACTTGCTTATTTATCTAGCAAACATTTGAGAGCCTGCTGGGTTTAAAACATTGAGCTAATCTAGATTCAGTGCAATCCCTATCAAAATACCAATGACATTCCTTATAGAAATAAAACAAAACAATCCTAAAGTTTATATGGAACCACAAAAGAGCCAAAATAGCCAAAACAATCCTACACAAAAAGAACAAAACTGGAGGAATCATATTATCTGACTTCAAATTATATTACAGAGGTATAGTAACCAAAACAGTATGGTATTAGCATAAAAAAGACACATAGACTAATGGAACAGAATAGAGAACTCAGAAACAATCCACACACCTACAGTGAACTTATTTTTTTTTTTTTTTAGACAGAGTCTCACTCTGTTGCCCAGGCTGGAGTGCAGTGGAGCGATCTTGGCTCACTGCAACCTCTGCCTCCCAGGTTCAAGTGATTCTCCTGCCTTAGTTTCCTGAGTAGCTGGGACTACAGACGCGTGCCACCACGTCCGGCTAATTTTTTGTATTTTTAGTAGAGATGGGGTTTCACCGTGTTAGCCAGGATGGTCTTCATCTCCTGACCTCGTGATCTGCCTGCCTCAGCCTCCCAAAGTGCTGGGATTACAGGTGTGAGCCACACGTGCCCGGCCTTAGTGAACTCATTTTTAACAAAGGTTCTAAGAACATGCACTGGGGAAAAGACAGTCTCTTCAATAAATGGTGCTGGGAAAACTGGATATTCATATACAGAAGAATGAAACTAGACCCCCATCTCTCGCCATATAAAAAAATCAAATCAAAATGGATTAAAGACATAAAATATAAGACCTCAAGCTATGAAACTACTACAAGAAAACATTGGGGAAAATCTCCAGGACATTAGTCTGGCTAAAGATTTCTTGAACAATACCCCACAAGCACAGGCAACCAAAGCGAAAATTGACAAATGGGATCAAAACAAGTTAAAAAGCTTCTGGACAGCAAAGGATACAATCAACAAAGCAAAGAGACAACCCACAGAATGGGAGAAAATATTTGCACACTACTCTTCTGAAAAGGGATTAATAATCAGAATATATAAGGAGTTCAAACAACTCTACAGAAAAAAAGTCTAATAATCTGATCAAAAGATGGAAAAGATTTGAATAGAAATTTTTCAAAAGACATACCAATGGCAAACAGGTATATGAAAAGGTGCTCAGCATCATTGATCATTAGAGAAATGCAAATCAAAATTACAATGAGATATCATCTCATGCCAGTTAAAATGGCTTATATCCCAAAGACAGGCAATAACAAATGCTGGCGAGGATATAGAGAAAAGGGAACCCTTGTACACTGTTAGTGGGGGTGTAAATTAATATAACCCCTAAGGAAAACAGTTGGAGGTTCCTCAAAAAACTAAAAATAGAGCTACCATATGATCCAGCAATCCCACTGCTGGGTATATACCCAAAGGAAAGGAAATCAGCATATCAAAGAGATATCTATACTCCTATGTTCATTGCAGCACTGCTTACAAAGATTTGGAAGCAACTTAAGCGTCCAACAATAGATAAATGGATAAAGAAAATGTGGTACATATACACAATGGAGTAATATTTGACCATAAAAAAGAATGAGATCCTGTCATTTGCAACAGCACGGATGGAACTGGAGATCATTATGTTAAGTGAAATAAGCCAGGCACGGAAAGACAAACATCACATGTTCTCACTTATTTGTGGTATCTAAAAATCAAAACAATTGAACTCATGGACATAGAGAGTAGAAAGATGGTTACCAGAGGCTGGGAAGAGTAGTGAGGGGCTGAGGGTGAGGTGGGTATAGTTAATGGGTACAAAAACTAGTTAGAAACAATGAATAAGACCTACTATTTGATAGCACAATATTGTGACTATAGTTTATAAAACCTTAATTGTACATTTTAAAATAACTAAGAGTGTAATTGGATTGTTTGTAACTCAAAGGATAAATGCTTGAGGGAATGGATACCAATTCCCCATGATGTGCTTATTTCACATTACATGCCTGTATCATAACATCTCATGTACCCCATAAATATATACACCTATGTAGCCACAAAAATTAAAAAACAAAATAAAACAAAACGAAACAAAAAACCACTGTGCTAGGCAACAGTAGTGAGAAGAGCTGAATATGGTTTTGTCCTCAGGGAGATCATTCAGACAGAGAGCGTTCATTATATGGACTGAACTAAATAATTATTCTAAATCCATATTCAAAATCCTTTAAAGATTGTGTACAGTATTTCAGTTTAGTATGAAATGTCAGTGGTAATAAAAGGCATCAGTGCTGTTTTCTTAGGCTTCATTTTAGTAATTTGTTGGCAGGAAATACGTAATTCAGGTATTTCTTCCTTGCCTCATGAAGCAATCTGGGGGTAGCCTTAGGAAATAATTCATGTCCTTCCTCTTGGTTGTTTTTTTTTTTTTTTTTTTTTGAGATGGAATCTCGCTCTGTCACCCAGTCTGGAGTGCAGTGGCATGATCTCGGCTCACTGCAAACTCCGCCTCCCGGGTTCACGCCATTCTCCTGCCTCAGCCTCCTGAGTAGCTGGGATTACAGGCACGCACCACCATGCCCAGCTAATTTTTGTATTTTTAGTAGAGACGGGGTTTCACCATGTTGGCCAGGCTGGTCTTGAACTCCTAACCTCAGGTGATCCACCTGCCTCAGCCTCCCAAAGTGCTCATGTCCTTCTTGACTCATTGGAAAGGCAGCAACATTAATGACAGAAAGCAGTATAACTTTTTTTGAGTAATAAAATCATTATTAAATTATATGGTAAGATTGGAAACTATAGAATATGATGTTCTATAGTCCCAAAGCAAAAGCCTTAGAGAAGGGACAGATATAAAACTATCCTGTATTTGAGAATAACGTTATGAGTATTATGATTCAGGAATAGTAGTGGGAAATCCATTACAAACCAGAATATTCATCTTGAATTTAAATGGCACAATTTTTTAGTAACTCCATTACACCCCCCTCCTCACCCCAAGAAAAACCATAGGATTAACGTCAGTTTCTTCCCTTGAAGACAGGTAATCGGATGAGACCTACCCTCTTTCTGATACGTTCTCCGGATGATGAAAATCCACAAAAGCTTTTGCCTAATGTTTTAAAACCCATGTTTTAAGAAATATGCATAGTTTCAGTCCATCCCCTTTAGCATACGTTAGCAGAAATTGAGAAATCAACATTGTTCTTTTTAGGTAACTCGAAAGTTGATTTATCTTCTCAAAAATAGAGTTGTTTAAAATTTCTGTATAGGTTGTAATTTTCAACACTTTAATAGTTTTGTTTTCCTCTGAACTTTGTACTGAATCTCTAAAGTAGTTAAATAGCAGGGGTTTTATAAGGGAGTTACAAGGCCTTACATGTTTTCAGTAGCAGCTTTTGGGAATAAATGGATGGCAAAAATCTCACTTTGCTAAGAGATCAGAGAGATCTTTACAACCTTATTTCTACTTCACTTTAGTTATTTCCTCAAGCTAATTAAGGTGTATTAGTTTTGGGGAAACTCCAGTAGGAAAAAGGAAAATGTTAATTTTCCTTAAGTAGGTAAAAGGAAATATACCCACACTAAAAGGTCAAATAAAAGTTAAGAATATAATTTATTTGTTCTACTTTATTTTCAAATTTAATGATAGATTGGGCTATTCTTTTTTAATATTACAGAGGTTCCATGAAATGCAAAGGACATTAAATTTTTATAGAATACTATAAATGGTAGTCACATCTTTGCCTTTAGAAGTTACAAAACATAGGCTTTTCTTGAAATAGGCAGAGTAAGTTATTCCCACTCCCCACAATTTATTTTGACCTAATTGAATGCTTTAATATCCAGAAAATGAAGTTTATTTGTTTATTTTACAAAAATATCTCACAATTTGCTACTATGGTACACTACTTAGAACCCCCGAAACCCAATTTAATATATATATAATAAAATATATAGAAATACATAGAAATAAATATAATAGATATAAACATACATAAATGTATATTTTTAAAATACATAGAAATACATATAATTATGTCCAAACTCAATACTATTATATATCAACACTTGCCATCATGAATTAGTAATTTGTTTGCTTGCTTAAGCCAAGATTTTGTTATATGATTATGATAACTAGCTATATATGCAGTTTATCCAGCTATTTCTGCAAGAATTCAAATGACTGTTCTTTTGCAAGGTTGTTGATTTCTTGAGCTACTACTAATGCAGTAAAAGGAATCTTTCCAAGCTCAGGAACAAGCAACAAAACCCTTAATCTGAATTTATAGCCTTCGGAGACAATCTGCAGGACAACTTAACTGTCCAAGCAATTTATTTTAATTAATATGATTTGTTCTATATATTTAAGTAGGAGAGTTATATACCAACAAATGAGACAAATAAGAATGCTAACAGTAACATTTTAAATAGTTATGGCTTAGGGAAAACATAAACGGAAGCACAGCCATCAGTAGTAATGGAATCTGAACCTTTTCTGTTATCAGTAAATCATCCACATCTCCTTAGAGACTTCATTTCCACCAGTGGATCTTAAACAATTTTAAGAGTTTAGATAGAAGGCCAAGGTCATACTATTTGTCCAGCATTTAGTGGTGAGGTAGAAAAATGTCCCTTACTAAGAGAAGTGTCAGGACTACTATATACTGCCAGAACCATATTGCTGATTTTCTTCAGAGTAAGGTATAATTTAATGAATCAAAAGAAAAGGTGTATTTTTTTCCTGTTAAACTTGATATATCTGGAAATTTTCATGGACTATGCTCTATAGACACTTGGTGTTTATTCCATATATTTAACTGTTACATTAAAAGATACTTAAACTGTGTCAAGCAATACTGCTCTTGCTCTAAAAATGATAAAAACATTTCCTTTTTCATCAAGAAAAGGATTACATATTTACAAATCTAAAGTTATCAAAAATTGAGGGTGATTTTACTAGCCTGTGTAAAGACAAAACCAATTGTTTAGACAACACAGTTGTCACAAGGCCAACCATGCACTAACCTCTTCTGGAAATGAGAATCTGAATAAAAGTATCATTTAGAAACACACAGTCTATTAGCTAAAGAGCCTGTTTACAATTCTGTCATTCCAACTAACAGTAATATTGTGTTTAGAAAAGGATTTGAAATATAGGCCTGACTCATATTTTGATTGAAATTGACTAAGAAGTTAAAAAATTTAAAACTGGCAGGGTGCAATGGTTCATGCCTGTAATCTCAGCACTTTGGGAGGCTGAGGCAGGTGGATCACCTGAGGTCAGGAGTTCAAGACCAGTCTGGGCAACATGGTGAAACCCTGTCTCTACTGAAAATACAAAAATTAGCGGGGCATGGTGGCACATGCCTGTAATCCCAGCATTTTGGGAGGCTGAGGCGGGAGAATCACTTGAGCCCGGGAGGCAGAGGTTACAGTGAGCCAAGGTGGTGCCACTGCAGTCCAGCCTGGGTGACAGAAAAAAAAAAAAAAAAAAAGATCTAGAATTCAGGAGAAAATGACAACTTTGTATGGTTGATGGTGCCTTTACTCTTCATCGAGTCACTGCCTATATGTTCATATTCATAAAGATCCCAAAGTTCATTCCTTTCATTCTTTCAGGAATTCAATTATTTACTGAATGACTATGTTCGGAGCACTGTAGGGGTTTGGAGCATGTAATAATATCAGTAATAACAGCTAATACTTATTTAGCAACTGCAATTTCTTTGAGGCTCTATTCTGAGTACTTTGCATATATCAATTCATTTAGCCCTCACAATTTTATGAGATGGGTTAACTATTATTATTGCTACAGACCAGGAATTACCCAAAGTCCCTGGTCAGTGGTGCAGCCAGGATTCTAACCCAAGCAACTGGATCCAGAGCTAATGCTCTTACCCATAAGGGTACATCTCCCACGTAAGCTATCTCTCTCTAAGTCTCTATGTTTCATATAACAATAGTGATTGGGAGGTCGAGGCGGGCAGTTCACGAGGTCAGGAGATCAAGACCATCCTGGCTAACACGGTGAAACCCCGTCTCTACTAAAAATACAAAAAATAAGCCAGGCATGGTGGCGGGTGCCTGTAGTCCCAGCTACTCTGCAGGCTGAGGCAGGAGAATGGCGTGAACCCAGGAGACAGAGCTTGCAGTGAGCCAAGATCACGCCACTGCACTGCAGCCTGGGCGACAGAGCAAGACTCCATCTCAAAAAAACAAAACAAAACAAAACAAAACAAAACGAAAACAATAGTGAAACATGAACTACTCTCATGGAGTTTCAGATCCACTTGAGAAAACATTACTTTCACAGTGGTGGCAGATTAGGAATGTCTCAAAATACTTATTATCATTTTTGCTACTTGGGGATGATGAGACCCATTCTTTTATTCCTTTCCTTACTCCTGGGGGAACTAACGAGAAGTACTGCTTTCTCCAAGTTCATGCTGCATCAAGGAGGTTGAGAGGCAAGTCTGGCTCAGTGGCATCAAGTAGGCAGGTAATGTGGCTAGAAGGCTGACAGTCTGCTGTACATATAGACTGTAACTATTCCCAAGATAGGCCAAAAGGAAGAAAGCTGGAACAAAATGAAAATGAAAGCTTCATTCAAAGCTTACAAAACACTACAATGTTGGGGGATTATGGGGAGCTGAGGCTTAGAGAAGTAAGTAACTTCCAATGTCACAAAACAGGCCCTGGATCACAAAGTGATCTTTCTGCCTATCATACCAGCCCCAAGGAATTGGGAGAAGAGCACTCTTGAACAAAAGAACTGAATTTTACATGGAATGTGTGCTCATCACATCATTCATGGAATATGACATGCTTTCATCTCACTATGTTTTGATGGGTCAGAAAGGTCAAATGATTTGGTAAACAGAAGCATTAAATTACACAAAAAGAGTGGCCTAAGGAGCCAAAAATCCCTCTGAATCATTCAGAACCAGCACCAACATCAGTGGACTGAAATTTTGATAGGAGTGTGATATGGTTTGCTGTGTCCCCACCCAAATCTCATCTTGAATTGTAACTCCCACAATTCCCACATGTCATGGGAGGAACTTGGTGGGAGGTGATTGAATTATGGGTGCAGGTCTTTCCTATGCTGTTCTCATGATAGTGAATGAGTCTCACACAAGGTCAGATGGTTTTAAAAACAGGAGGTTCCCTGTACAAGCTCTTCTTTTGCCTGCCGCCATCCTTGTAAGACGTGACTTGCTCCTTCCACCATGATTGTGAGGCCTCCCCAGCCTTGTGGAACTGTAAGTCCATTAAACCTCTTTTTCTTCCCAGTCTCGGGTATGTCTTTATCAGCTGTGTGGAAACAGACTAATACAGAGTGCAAATGCCTTTGAATTTTTGTAAAATAACTTTGATATCAACTTGAATGTAAGTTGTATGAGGGTAGAGACCTTGTTTATCATGTTTACCACATTGTCCTTAGTGCCTGGAACATTGTTTGGCAAGTAATAGGTACCCAATAAATATTTGTTAAGTGAATGACCCATCTTCAGGAAAATGTCAGCAGAATTAACTTTTTTTCAAAACAAAATCTAGCTTTAAAAACTTTCTTGACCCATGCATGTATTTTACTAATTATGGAGGTATTTAATTAATACCTCCATAATTAAGATTGTTTAATTAAGATTGTTTGCCATTATTGTAATTCTCTTCTTTCTGGACTCTTTCCTGTTCCCTTGAAGGTGGTAGTGGCAATGTGATGATTTACTGTAGCCAATGAAAATAAGTGAAAGAAATGCACTTATCCCCCTTTTTTGGTAGAAGATACTGAGAGAGTGCAGATAAAACAGAAGGATCCTTAAGACATCCTAGTATATGCAGAGAAAAAAACAAAAAAGATACATGATAATGCGCCTCAATGTATTTGAACATTGAATGTCTCATTAGGATTCCACGCTGAAGATAGTGACATGAGATTCTCAGACGTTGGGGAAATATTTTGCTTTAGAGTTAAAAGACATATAATAATAAAACAGATGGAAATAATTATATGAAGATAACAATTATAGAATTAAAGTAAATTAGAGTGGAAAAAGTATTAGAGATCTTCTGTGTACTCCTCCATTTTACAGAAACTGATGCCCAGAGAGTACAGTTTGTCACTGGTCAATCTTGGACTTGAACTCAGGACCCTTGATTACTTGTCTGAAATTCATTATAACCATGTCATACTAGCTGCTATAATAGACTGATGGCCCCAGGGCTTAGGGTCAGAACTATCAGTTTTGCAAAATGTATGGATAGTTGCTTATATAGTGTAACTTCAGAATGCAGAGCTATTGACTGGCTACATACAGATTGACTGCAGAGAGATCTCATAGACTAAGTATTAGTTATTCATTACTGCTTAACAGATTATCCCCTAAATACTCAGCAGCTTAAAACAATAAACATTTATTGATTCACACAGTTTTTGAGTGACTTAGTTGGTTAGTTCTGGCTCACAGTATCTCATATGTTTGTAGTCAAAATGACCCACAGTTTTGTCTGGCAATATATAGAGAGCAAGCTTCTTTAAGTTAGAAGGCTTATCAATATTTAGGTAAATGATTGTTTCTAGAATTTTGTTTGACTCATGATTTTTTTTTTGGCTTTGAACTAACATCTATGGACCTACTATACTTACGGTCTGCTTTTCGTTGCTCAAATGCAATGTGGTAGAAGGTGTATGAAATTTTAGAGCCAGGTTAGATTCACTATGCTGATCTTGAGTAATGTAAATTAACCTCATATTGGCCTCAGTTTTTTCATCTTCAAATAAGGATCATAATACCTAATTTGTAAGGTTATTGTGAAGATTAAGGTAATTTAGGAAAAGATTTGGCAGTGTGCTTGGCACATGAGAGATACCTCATAAATCAGGGTTGGTATTTTACTGTCCCTCATAATACCTTGCTTTCTAGATATGAAGCTATTATTTTTAGTAATAAAGTTAAATTATTGAATAATTTACAGAAAATAACTATTTTAATTTATAAAAATAGATTAAGCAAGTGTGAGACAATTAGCGACACTTCTATATCATGCTCTTTCTGTTACCAGGGCAAATACCATAGGAAACTAGGGAGTGAGAAAAGATGCTGTTACCAGGGCAAATACCATAGGAAACTAGGGAGTGAGAAAAGATGCCTGGCTGTCTTCTCAGGGTTTCTGCTTAATACTTCTCTTAATGTTACAGTTACTATTGCACAATAAAGCCATTGGAAAGGTCACAGTGGGAAGAGTTTGTCTCTACTCCAGGATGTCTGAAAGAGATTCAAAGATTGGGAGACACTCATCTGAGGCATCTTTATTCACATATCTAGTGGGTGATGTTGGCTATCTGAGGGACCCTCAGCTAACATGGTCACCAGGAGAATCTACACTTAGTCTTTCCATATGGCCTGGGCTTCCTCATAACATGGCAGCTCCCCGTTGTTTGGACTTCTGACCTAACAGCTCAGTGTTCCAAGAGCAGTGTCTCAGTTCAGAAGCTGCACTGCTTTTTATGGTCCAGCCTTGAAATTCATATAGTACCACTTCTATAGTATTCTATTGGTTACAAAGGAGTCATCAGCTCTCAGATTCAAGGGGAGGAAAACGAGGCTCCACCTCTTGATGGGGGCATGGCAAGGTTTTAAAATAGTATATGGGTGGGTAGGTGTACTGCTGCCATCATCTTTAGAAAATACAATCCACCACACTTAGAGAAGTGAAGTAGAGACCCTTATGTGGGCAGGGCAAGCCTCAGAACAGGGAAAGCAACATAGAGCTTCCTGGACATGCTTACATACACACCTCTACAAATCATCACAACCTGCTAGTTTTCATTCTGGAGCCTGGACTCTCCAACTGTACTCATTTTATGGCCCTTAGGCAAGCTGTGTTGCCCTTTTCAATAGCTGCATGAAATGTGGAATACATCACGTATCCAGACCTTGTCTCTCTTTCTAAGATACTTCGCTTGATCTCTTTCTTGCTGTTTCAACTTAAAATATTTAACATGAAATCACCACTGCACTGTGGGGCTCCCATAGATAAATTTGAAGTTTTAATAGTTTATCATTTCCACTTTTGAGACTAGTACTCTGTAAGTTAAAAACAAAAACAAAACAAAGCAAAGGCCAACACTTTAACCAATGGAAGTCTAAGCTTTGGAAAAATCCAGAAAAGTAACACCAAGTCCAAGATAAATTGAGACTCTAAGCACATTTTGCTTGCATTCCTTCCTTGTTTCTCATTTAATAAATGTTTTCCAGAACGGAGTTTGCAAATCCAAGTAAATATATATATATATTTAAAATGCTTACTTATTCCCTTTTGGGTTCTGCGTCAATTGTGTACATTTCATAAATATAAACATAAGACATATTTGCTAAGGAATTACATTTGTTGATGTGGCAATCTCATGGCTTAAAGTGTAAAAAATTCATACCTTGTCAATTATGAATTACATTTCCCCATTTATATAGAATATGGAACTTGTTTGAGTACTAGCTAAAAATGTACGTGATACTATTTCAGATGTAAGTATTGCTTTAAAAATATCAAGCTTATCCCCCTTTAAGAGGTCAAACAACATCTGAAAACTATAACCCTTTTAAATAAAAAAAACTCTGTCCTTTGCTAATTTATTCAGCTTTCTTCCTACCACATCCAGTTACCAACCCTATCAGTCCATTCCGTTTGATTTATCTTTTAGTCAGATGAGTGTCACAATAGGAAGGCAGCAAGAATACCCTTTAATACTTATGGATTTTTTTTCAAATTTAAACATCTTCCTTCCTAAGCAGAATTTATACACTGACTCACTCTCACAGCTATCACCCTGGATGCCCTCTTCCTATTTCATTACCATATTGTGGATGAACACATCATTGGTATGGTATTTATCTTGATAGGCAGTGAAAAAAAGTCTTGCCCCTAAAAGCTATGCCATGTTTCTAGCCCTTCTTTATGAGGCATCTTCCAGCAGCACTCTCATTGCAGAATTGCATGGAGCAAATGGTGGCCCATCTCAGATCACTGGTACTTTCCCTGAATGAAATCCTACATATGCTGTCAATTTAATTAGAAATTGGCCTGCTGTTTTGTCTTCCCAATTAGCTCACCCATTATCTCTCATATCCTAAAATCCTATCATTCTCCAGATAATAGGTTATTTCTTCAAACATCCTTGTCTCATTGCTTCCAGATAACTGTCTGTGACCTGTTTCCCCTTTAACTGCTTATAGTCATTTTAACATCTGTCATCACAGCTAAAGGTGTGATTACGTCTAATAATGTTTTATTTTTGCAGTGAGTGCACCACAGTTATTGTCATATACAGAAAATTCTGACTGACAGTTCCAGAGCTTTTTGGCATCAGAGAAAGTCAAGTACTGTGTTACCTCTTTCTATGACTCCCAAGAGAATAATCCAGCACAACTACTCAGTATCTTGGAAGAAGGCCTTATGACTTTGGAGAGCCTTCTTTCTCACCTACACAGCCTTACAGCATTCCCCTGTATTCTCCTGTTCTAAGTTTCTCTCCCTTATTTAAATTCTAACTTCAAATGTAACAGTTGACTAATGTTAAAATTAATTTCCAAAAGAAGTTCATTAATTGATCAAGTTAAAGAATTTCCTTCTATATTTACGTGAATTTAGGTTGAATAAATTTCATATTTTTAGGGAAATATCTAGGAAGCATTAAAAATAACAGTTGACATTGAGATATTTAGTAAACAAAATCATTCTAGTTTCTTCTGTCTTGCCCCCTCCCATCTTATTTGCCATAACCTATAAATTTAGCCAAAATGCAGCAAGTCTAATTCATTTATAAGCAGTTGACATTCAAAGGTTATCCTCATTGATGTCTAAATTTTTATGATGTGTTTCTGCTACTGTATTACAATTCTGAATTCCGTATCAAATTTATTAAATTTTTTTATTGCTAAATCCCCTTGCTGTGGTTTGCTCCTGCCAAGACCCATGTTGAAATTTGATCCCCAATGTGGCAGTGTTGGGGGTAGGGCCTGTTGAGAGGTGTTTGGGTCATGGGGGCAGATCCCTCAAGAAATAGATTAATGCTCTCTTGCAAGGGTGAGTTCTCACTCTCATTAGAATGGATTACTTCCCACAAGAGCAGGTTTTTAAAAAAGAGCCTGGCCTCCCTGGTTTCTCTCTCTTGCTTGCTCTCTCACCATGTGATCTCTTTGCATGTATCCACTTTCTGCTATGAGTGGAAGCAGCATGAGGCCCTCACTGGATGTAGCTGCCCAATCTTAAACCTTCTAGCAAGAAGAATTATGAACTAAAGAAACCTCTTTTCTTTGTAAATTACCCAGGCTCAGGTATTCTGTTGTAACAACAGAAAACAGGTGGAGACACCCCCATCAGTCTAGTAATATGCAATAGAACTGACAGTGTCTATTGTTGATTAATATGCCCAACTTTGTTGTAAAGTCAGTCATTATAAACAAGGTCTTTACTAGCTCTTTTCATTTATAAGCACTAGGAGATACTCAAGAGGGTCTTACCTAAACAATTCAAAATTATCATTAAAAAGCATAAAAAAAATCTGCCATAGACCAATGCTTCTTTCACATTAGCTAGAACAGGAACTATACCCAAAGAGTACTTTGGGAATATAACAGATTAATGACCCAATGGAATAAACACTTGACCAGTAAAAAGTACCAAGTTTGAAAAACTGCTTTTAAGAAGAACAACCTAACCCTGTTTTATACAACAGAAACAGATTCATTACTGCTGAGATATGCTGCATCTCTAATTTCATTTTCCCAAAACTTCAGTATACCTCCATAGAATTCAGGTTAGTTCTCTCAGTAAGTAACTATGACATTACCATTGCTAGTGTTCCTAGAAAGTTCCTATTTAAAAGCACAACAGGGAAATTACTACACAGTATCCCCACCCCGAGCAAACACACAAAAACACCAATGCACACCACAGATAATAAAACATTGGAAAATGATAGGAATAATCAAGAAAATGCTTTATGTGGAAAATTCAGCTGTGGTTTAGATATTAGGTCAACTTTAACCAATGTTACAATATCATTTCATTATTTTTAAAATCTAGAAAAATGTCACCAATCAAATATTATAAAGAAAAATGTTAACCTAATTATAAAATGAAACTAAGCCATTGAGCAATGGAATCCTGGGAAGCATCATTAACTTTAAATTCTATATTACATGGAAGCAGAAAGATTCCAGATAAGTGACTCAGATTGCATACTGTCAAATAGTTCATTTTAACCTGCTCCTAGATTCTGTGGGTCTTTTATGGGTTCTTCTTTTTTTAATAACTATAATTTGTAGTCCATTCCCATTCATTTGCTACTAACCTGGCATTTCCTGAGAGATCTAAAAATTGAAATGAGGAAGTAAAATCACACTTTTCATAGAGAACAGCCACTTCTAAAACCCCCTAAATTCCTCTAAGCTTTGAAATTCCTACTGTTGTGGAATGTATTAATATTGGAGTGGGAAAGTGAAGAAAAATCATAATGCAGGACTGTGGGTATCTACACTTCAAACCAGGAGCCTTAATGCTGCCTGTGGTTGAATGGCTGCGTATTATAATTTGTTAGGCAATGGTAATTAACTAGTCTAGACTCCTTTCAAAAACTACTAAGCTACTAAGTGAGTAAGTCTTATAAGCTATTAAAACATTGTAGAACAGATAACTGAATAAAATATTAGTGTGTAGAAATACATATTTTTGAGTTCCTACTATGAGTCAGCCAATATATTAGGCATAAGGGATAAGACAGTAAATATGACAATTACTGTCCCTTCTCTTATGGAACGTATACCAGTGGCAAAGACAAATTTTGGACAAGTAATCAAATGAATGAATTAATAAATGGCAGTATTGTAAAAGTCAGTATCCAAGTCTTCCATATTTCAATAAGATTTACAGTTTTCTGATCCTGCATATTTTAGTTAGGGTTATTCCTAGAAATTTTATGGTGTGTATGTTGCTGTTATTCATATAAGATTTTCCTATCATCTCCTCTGTTTCTTGCTGGGATATTGATATTTTTTGGTATTTTTCTAGTATTCCATAGCCTTACTAATTTATATTTAAGAGGATTTGACTTGGCATTTTTGGGTTTTCTAAGAAACATTCTCTGCAATTACTAACCTTTTTTCTCTTTTCCTGTCCATCAGTTAGTCCTTTCTATCAGTTATTTCTGATTTGTGTCTTATTGCACTAACCAGAAATTTTAGAATACAGTTAAATAAGGAGGAGATTGGGAATTCTGTCCCCCCTTGATTTTAATGAGAGTTCTGGCTTTACTATTAATATTATATGATGTGATCTGTCTTCTTAGGTATCCTTTTTTATGAGAAGGAAGTCTCCTTCTTCATTTTTTCCCCTTAAGATTTTCTTAGAAATGGGTTCTTTTGACTTCTTAATTTTGATTTCTCTCTCAACTAGCTACAGTATGACTTTAAATAATTTTTTTCAAGAAGGATGTTTGGTGATATAAATTTTGAATTATTGAATAACTGAGAATTCTGCTGCCATCACACACAAACAACATTTAAGAGGGCATAAAATTCTTAGGCTACCAATTTTCTCCTTACAATGCTATAGACAGGTGGGAATGCAAAATAGTGTAGCCACTTTTGGACATGTTTTGGCCATGTATTAAAAAGTTAAATATACACCTACCATATCACCCAGTTATCCTACTCCTAGCTATGTACCTAAAAGAAATGGAAATTTATATTCACATAAAAATATGTGAATGTTTATAAGAGCTTTATTCACAATAACCAGAAATTGTAGACAATCCAGATATCCTTAAGTGATTTCATATCAATGATATGCCATTCAGCCCTAAAAGGGAACAAACTATTGATTTATACAACATGAATTAATTTAAAATACATTTTTCTAAGTGAAAGAAGACAGAATCAAATGGCTACATATTATGTGAATTCATTTTACATGATATTCTTAACAAAGCAAAAGCATAGGCAGGAAAACAGATCTTTGGTTGCCAGGGGTTGAGAATGAGAGGAGAGATTGTCCAAAAAAGGGTAACTCATACTTTTGGAGAGTGATGAAATTGCTCTGCAGAGAAGGCAGTGGTGGACATGTGACTCTACACAGTTGTCAAAACACATAGAACTGTACACACACAGAGTGAACTTTTTTGTAGGAAAACAACCGACAAATCAACCAGGATTTGGAGGAAAAGATAGAATGCAGACTGTGACAAGGAATCTAACTATATTACAATTAAATCACAAAGCAACATTGAAGGGAATGGGGGAAAAGGGAGCTGACTTACAAAACTCTGGAAAGAAGTGTTTTGACTGGATACTTTAAGGCTGAAGAACAAAAGAACTGTGCATAAACACTGTTTGGTTTTGATGTGTGTGTATGCATTAGTTAGTAACCACACATATATTTCCTCACTCTAGTCACTGAAAGAGGCTAGAAGCTACCCCAGTAGCAGTGAACACAGATCTTGGTTTCTAAATTCCTTCTCCAATAAAAGAAACAGGAATATCTGGAGAAATAGCTGATTCTAGGTGCTGGAGAAGGGATAATACAATATGAGCCTGGAGCATCTGAAAGTAAGGAAGTAAAGGAAAAGAAAAAACGATGGGAGCATATTAAAACAGATAGGAGCCACCCAGGAAAAGTTACCAATTGCCAAAGTTGAACAACTTGTGCAACAAAGTAATGATAGCATTGGATTATAACCAAATAATAAAATAAATATACATGAATCCATACTAATATAAATAATAACTGAGTAAATTGGGGAGAAGTGACAATTCTTTCTTATATAATAATCACAATTAATAAATACAAGGAATAAAGGAAATAGAAATCATCATTAAAACACCACACGGTAACAATTGCCACACAATGGATGCAAAATTAGTGGGTAAAAGTTTATGCAAAAATAGGATATTTTTATAATATCAAAGCATCTCCCCCAAAGTACTTAGTAATTATAAAAGAAAAATAATAACTTTACAGTGGAGAATCCTAAAAAATACAAGCTCAACCAAATGATCAAGGGTAACATCACCAGTAATTAGACAAATGGACATTATGTGATCCCTGATACAATAAACTGACAAGGGTGCATCATCTCTGTGGTTTCCCCCTCAATAACACATAACTTTAATCCAATCACGAGAAACCATCTTACAAACCAAAATTGAGGCACATTCTACAAAATAATTTACCAGTATCCTTCAAAAGTGTCAAGATCATGAAAAACAAAGACTCCTGTGCTGTCGTAGATTGGAAGCAACTAGAGATATGACAACTAAATGTAATGTGAGATTTTGGAAAACAAAAGGATGATAATAGAAAATTGGTGATATCTGAAAAAGTTCTGTACTTTAGTTAACAGAATTACCTACAACCAAGGTTAATTTCTTAGTTTTGATAAATATTCTTTGGTTACATAAGATGTTAACATAAGGGGACTTTGGCTGAAGGGTATTTGGGAATCTACATACTATTTTTGCTAAAAATGCTATAGATATGAAACCATCATCCTATGGCATTTCATGTTTCAGAGAAGTTTAAGGTCAGCCTAATTTTTGTCCCTTTTTAGGTAACCTGCTTTATTTTTTATCTGCCTGAAAACTTTAAATCTATTTTCATCTTTCTTGAAATTAACTAAGTCTTACATACTTTTTTTCAGTGTCACAGAGTACTCAAATATTTTTGTCTGGTCCCCATATTAAACATGTTTCAGTGGTTTTTATTTTTTTCAGAGTGATTTTACTTTCTTTTAGGCTGCAGCATATTTGGCCAACCATTATTTGGGCTCTCTGGGTTATTCATCTTCAAAGTAGGACACTGCTATTTAGACCACTTCCACCACTTGTGGTTCATGGAAAACCACTGACAACAGGTTTACTGATACACTGTTTTCAGAGTTGTGAGTTTTTACCATTTTTAGTACTCTCATGGTTATTTTACTGGGTAATTTAAAGAGATTTATTAACAGCTGCTGAGCAGAAGTCATTTTAAATCAGAAGCTACCCTATCCAAAATGTCTACATTTTTGAAATACTAATTTTAGCAATGTCTCCCAAGGTATTTCCATTAAGGAAGAGCATTTGCATTGTGAGCATTATATCTGGAACTCCTATACTTTAGAATCAGAAAAGAGAATGTGAAGTAGCAGTTCATATTTCACAGGATAATTAAAGCAAGAGATTTGGTATTCCTCTACAACAAGAATTACAAAGTTAGGTAGTGGTCTGGAAACCAGTGAAGCTGATTGCAAAATGAATATTTAAAAGCCCCTCTGATTTAATGTGCTCTTGTTTCCATTCCCTTTATTCTTTACAAAGAATCCTCTGTAAATATTGCTTTAAGGATTATCAGGCTTCAATTTTCAAATTCATCCAAAGACCATAATTTAAACCATAATATTGGCTTTACAAATGTAAACAGTGATTGAACCACTTTCCTTTAGCTAATAGGAATGCCAATGAAATTAGAGTCAATTAAATAATTGCTTTATTAACGTAATGTATTACTGCTGTAAGACATGCCATGGCACATCCAGCCGGGAGGATAGCTAGGAGAGAACAGGACTACATCAAGGTAAAGAGAATAAACAGCATATTCTAAAAACTTAGTCCACAGAGAAGAGTAAAACAGCAATTGAAATTTTGATTCATCGATTTCATAGTTTAACTATGGCTGAGGATGGAAAAATCCTAAGAGAGTTTAAAGGTTTTCATTTAATTCAAAGGATACTTAGTGTGGGATAAATTATGTCTTCAGGTTAGGTTTAACTTAGCTTCTCTCCTCTCTCTGCCTTCTGGACACCAGCTGCAGGAAACTGCCTTTGTCCCTGCAGTCTAAACCCTGGTTGGATCTCTTTAATGACTCTTCATTAGTGACTTACTACTGCTGACAAGATGTTTAAACTCCTTATCAACATATACAAACCTCTTTCTGACTTGGTTCCTGCTCGCATATCCAGCTCCCTCTTCTACCATTCTTCTCCCATCCTACCCTTCAGTGGGACCTTCAGCGCACCCTATAGACAATGCAGGCTCACTTCACCCTTCAGCTGTTCATACCAAGGAAGAGCTGATTATTTCCTGTGAATTATTCATCTTTCAAGACATAACTTAAAATGTCCCTTCTTTTTTTTTTTTTTTTTTTTTTTTTTTGAGACAGGGCCTTTCTCTGTCACCAGGGCTGGAGTGCAGTGGCATGATCTTGGCTCACTGAAGCCTCCGCCTCCTGGGTTCCAGAGATTCTCCTGCCTCAGCCTCCTGGGTAGCTGGGATTACAGGCACATGCCACCACACCAGGCTACTTTTTGTATTTTTAGTAGAGATGGGGTTTCACCATGTTGGCCAGGCTGGTTTCGAATTTCTGACCTCAGGTGATCCACCTGCCTCGCCCTTCCAAAGTGGTAGGATTACAGGTGAAAGCCACCATGCCCAGCCGTAAATGTCCCTTCTTATGCCAAGTTTTCTATCCACTCTCCATCTCCAGTCTCGCCTCCTTCTTCCCCTAAGCAAGTACTGATATTTTTGAAATACTTTTATGATAATTTTTTTCCTTTATGAAAATACAGAGGTATGTGATTATTTACTTCTAATATTGCATACCTTGAGAGATTATTTGCAGTTATTTTTTAAACTTCTGTGTCCCCCTACTGTGTTGTCCCCTCTCTTTTTGATGGCAGGACTGAATCTATTATCTCAATAACTTCAGAACCTAGTGAATTATTTGGTGATTCTGCTCAGCAAATATTTGAGGACTAAATGAATAGATAGGCAGTTTGCACAGTGGTATCTCTAGTAAGGTAGGGAACAGGTTCTTAGTAATTATGGTTTTTCTTGTAGCTCACCTCCTAGCCTGTTCTGTCCCAAGAGGTTGTGTATATCTTAGCACAGAAGAGCAAGGAAGAGAGTTTGTGGGTTTTGTTTTTGTTTCTTTCTGATTCAAGGTCAAACTACCAAAAAAATTCTGTACAGCCAGAAATGAATCCTTTGGAAAGGATTCATTTGTAAAGGATTCACTCTTTACACTATTCCTCATCATTCAGCTAAAAGTATTAAATACAAATTATCACCTACCTGCTACACCAAAAATAATTGATATACAAAACCATGACAACTCTTAAGAATCAAAATGAACTAAAATCTGTTATGAATTTTGTGACATAAGAAGAGATGTATATTTGGTCTCTGCCCCAGTTCCTGACACAGAGCTCCTAAAACCCTTGTAATTTCCAAAGTGATAGGGATAATAGGAGCATGTTTTGTTATAAATCTTTTGTTCTGGTCTTAGTCTCTGGTTCCTGATAAAAGAGCTTCTAAGACCCAGTGATAAGAGTGTCATTTTATATGCTAATGAGATGACTACTGGCTGGGGTCCCTGAGTAACTTTAGGATGGGGCTGGTTCTCAGAAAGATCAAGGCATGATTAGAGGGTTGAGACTTTCAGCCCAACCCCTTGACATCCCAGAAGGAGAAAAGGGCTGGAAATTGAGCCAATGGCCAATGATTTAATCAATCATGCTTATGTGATGAAACCTCTATAAAAATCCTAAATGACAGAGTGTGGGAGCTTCTGGGTTAGTGAACACATCCACATGCCAGGAGGGTGGCACATCTCTACTCTGCAGAAGCTTTTGTGCTCAGGCAGGACCATTCTGGACCTCAGCCTATGTACCTCTTCATCTGGCTGTGTATTTCTATCCTTTATAATATCCTTTATAATAAACCTTTATAATATCCTTTATAATAAACAATAAACTTAAGTGTTTCCCTGAGTTTTATGAGCCATTATAGCAAATTATCAAACCTGAATGAGTTGTGGGAACCCCAGATTTGTAGCCAAGTCAGAAATGTGGTTAACCTGGAGACCCACCACTTGTGATTGGCATCCAAAATGAGGGGCAATCTTGTAGGACTGAGCCTTTAACCTGTGGGGACTGCACTAACTCCGGGTAGTTGGTATCAGAGTTAAATTTAATAGTAGGACATGCAGTTGGTGTCTACAGAGAACTGGAGAACTGCATGCTGTGGAGAACCCAAACATTTAGTATTCTAAGTGTCGCGAGTAGAGAAACGATTTTCCTAGAGATGTTAAGGATGAAAGGAAGTGAGGTAGCATGGAAGAAAGAAATATGACTATCAGGTGCTATATTTTCCCTTCCATATTTATTATCTCATTTATTTCTGAAACAACTATTCAGTGTAAATATTATTATCCCCATTTTTACATTTTACATTGGAATGCAAGAACTCTTAAGACTCCAGCAGTTCTTTTGCCATTTTCATACATGCATTCTCACTCTGAAAAGGCCAACCTACTTGCTGTCCATTTATGGTTTCTTTTCTGCTTTTAAACACATTGATCATTCACACAAACACAGACCTCATACTCTTTATATTAGAATGTTTTATCTGCTTTTTGTTCTTAGTCTAAAAAGAAGGCATAGACTCTATCTTGTCTATATTCAACAAAACCTCCTATACTTTATAGATGCAAATATTTAAGAAACTTATGCACAGGTTTTGTGCTATTATCATGTAAATTATTTTAAAGAAGATTAAACTTATGAAAATGCATATATTTATATATACACATATACACACACATACACAAGTCTTTAAAAAATATTAGGGTTTAAATGCAAAGATCAGAGGAAACTCAGTCTTTGGTATCTATTTAAATTTATCATTTCATCTTAAGTTTGTACCTTCTGTACTTTGTCAATGAAGAATCCACAACTCAGGCTGAAGTCATTTCCCCTTATGAAAAACTGGCAGCTGGGTGTATCCAGTTATCTATTGTATAACAAGCCACCCCAAAACTTAGTGAATTAAAACAATACAATCAACTATTTCTCACAATTCTCTGGGAAGCTCTGCTTGTCTTGCCTAGACTTACCAATCTGATAGCTCATCTAATCAGGCTGGGGCTCTCTGCGGGTATTGTCTTTCATGTCAGTCTTCTTCACAGCATGATGGTTTTCTAAAGGGCAGCCCCAATGCACCAGTTTCTACTCTCATCATGTTTGCTGATGTCCCTTGGCCAAAGCAAGTCACAGGACCAAGCCCAGAGTCAGTATGGGATCCTGGGACTTGTAATTTATTGGAAGTCATCACTATAACAATCTACTGCTCTAGGCATCTTTATGACACACTTTGAATTATATTTCATATACTTCTAGGGCTGAGGACATACTGTAATTAACCACATAGAGCCTTGAGTATGCTGAAGATTATTGATGCCTACTTATCAAAAGAATATGGTGTATGGTTGAGAGGTATATGCATTGATTTAAGTGCTTCTTTGACTTTATAAGGAAGCCACATATTAAATATTTGTATTCATCCCACTTGTTTTTAGATACCCACTACAGGTTTTACCTGTAGCTACTGAATTAAATGCTGACCTTTCCTTATTTTAAGTTTTTCTCAAATTATAAGACCCTGGAAGAATTACCCCTGCACTCTGGTCTTATTTCAGCAATTGTACTCAACAAGCTCTCCATTCACCACAGCAGGCTTGCCAGTTCATAATGTATGGAGTACATGTTCTGGATACACATAGATAGGTCAGGATATATAAAAATTCCTAGTTCCAGTTTATTATGATTCTTAAAGAGTAGAGATTCAAACCATCTGTTCAAGATATTGGCACAGAAAAAAAGGGCATAGATTTTAAAATTAGAAAATATGAGCTTCAGTTGTATCATTTACTAGCAAGTTACATAATTTCTTTGCATCTTAGTTTTCTAGTATAGAAAATGGAAATATTAATAATAGCTACCATAACATTATTTGGAGCATTAACTGAGATGATTAAGCAAAGGTCTGCACAGCACTATACAAATGTATTACACAATTCCCTTACCTGAAACCATTGAGGTCATTTTCAAAACTCAGACTTTGGAAAGGTAATACAATGCATTTTCTGTTTATTTAAAGTAACCTTCCCAACAGAGTATAGGGTAGTACTATACAACCAAACACATTAATATATCTGCAGCAAAACATATAAACATTCATTTTAGGTGGAATAAATTAAGACTATCAACTTATAAGAAAAGACTTTTAGTTTAAGAGTTATGTGTATTTCAGAATTGTAGTTAAGGAATTGTGAGTATTTTATTTGCATATAAGTTTAGTTTATTTTTAATTTTTTAAAAACTCCACATAATCTTTAATGGTTAGGATTGTTCATAAATTTATATAGGATAGTATAGATGATTTTGATTATTGGTGTACAAATGCCAATATTTACTGACCTTTCTAAAGCAGTAAATAATATTTCCATTTGGAAGAAGTAAAGAGGTAAAAAGAGAATTGTAGGACAACAAATGACATAAGCAAGGGATATGTGATAATAAATAAGTCAATTTGTAGGTGCTTAATTAGGTTATTTATGATGTAAAGCAAATAAGCAAATATATGGTGAAAAGTACATGGCAAAGTTAGTAATATTATGTACTATATGTCTTGTGTTGTATTTGACATTTTGAGTAAACAAATCCAATATAAGATCTGGTCTCTGCCTTTAGGAAGCACATAATCCTGCTCAGAGATAGACCAATCATGTATACACACGAAGGAGCTACTGAGATCAAAGCATTGTTCATTCATTAGAAACTGAGAAAGGACATAGTTTGGTAAGAGCAGGAGCTACCAGAGAGGGTGTTGTGAGGGAAGTAGGAGTTGAAGGATGCCTTCAGTTTGGGTAGAGAAAAGATGACCAAAACCCAAGGGAAGACATGAGGGTGGGCACATATATTCCAGAGGCAGAGAGGGGCCAGTGTGTATAGAACAACAAAGGGATCAGAAGTCATGTAGTAGAGCCATTTGCAGATGGACTTAAAAGCCTATTGGGAATAGTTCAGACTTGATGGATCATATAATAGAAAATTACTGCAAGTTCTTGAGCCGAAGAATAAACTCCTGAAATTGATAGTGAATAAAGGCAAGTTTGACACTGAAATACAGTGCAAAGGTGGATCGGAATTGAGAAAGACTGGGAACAAGGACGCTGCTAAAATAATCCATGCAGGCACATCATAAGGACTAAGACTGGGGCTGGGGGCTAGGGAGTTGTTGAGTAGGAAGAAGAAAAGGTAAATCTGAAAATTCTGATTAGATGGCTTGAAGAAAAGTGGCAAAGAAAACTAGCATTTTTTAGCCAGTTCAGATTCAGACAGGCAGAACTGTTGTGAAATTAGGGATGGTGGAAGCAGGAGTTCATTGGAGGGAAGGAAAAAAAAAAAAAGATGAAAAACAGAAATCTGAGAGAAAGGAGTTTTTTTTTTTTTTTTTTTTTAATTTTTTTTTGTTTTGTTTTGAGATGGAGTCTCACTCTGTCGCCCAGGCTGGAGTGCAGTAGCGAGATCTCGGTTTACTGCAAGCTCCGCCTCCCGGGTTCATTCCATTCTCCTGCCTCAGTCTCCTGAGTAGCTGGGACTACTGGCACCCGCCACCACGTCTGGCTAATTTTTGTATTTTTAGTAGAGACGGGGTTTCTCCGTGTTAGCCAGGATGGTCTTGATCTCCTGACCTCGCGATCCGCCCACCTCGGCCTCCCAAAGTGCTGGGATTACAGGCATGAGCCACCGCGCCAGACCGGGAGTTATTTTTTAAAAAACAAATTCCAAGGCCTAAACTCCCTCAAATTCTGAACTGGTAATATTGTCAGCAATGATTAAACTTCAGAAATGATAGTAACTCTTAAGTTAACACAACAGCCTCAACTGTCAAAGAAAACAAATGGAGCACAATGTACATGCAATGGACTGGATGTTTGTATTCCTCCAAAATTCATATGTTGAAATCCTGACAGCCAGTATGATGGTATTAGAAGGTGGGAACTTTCAAAGACGATTAGGTCACAAAAGTATTGCTCTCATGAATTTGATTAATGCCCTTATAAAAGAGACCCCAGAGAGATTTCTCATCCTCTTTCCACCATGGGAGGAGATCACAATGAGAAGTTGGCTGTCTACAACCCAGAAGAGGACTCTCCCCAGAACCTGGCCAGGCTAGCACCCTGATCGTGACTCCCAGCCTCCAGAGGAGAAATAAATGTTTGTTGTTTGAGCCAACCAGTCTATGGTATTCTGTTACAATCGTCTGAATTAAGACAGTACACCAGAAAATAAGACAGAACACTGTAACATATTTTATAAAGTGTTGATACTTTGAGGCATTTATTGTAATTTGTAAGTATTTGGACCTCTCTATTTGATGAAGACTTCATATTTAATTGTGAGAAAGTTCTTTCTTATGCCATACTGATAGCTCTTTAATACCTGTTAGTAAAAATAAGTTTTCTCATACCTCTTTGCACTCAGTAACATTTCCCAGTTCGGCTATGCTTTCTGTCATTATAGTTTTGCTTTTTCTAGAATTTCATATTAATGGGATCATGTAGTACATAGTCTTTTGTCTTTGGTCCTTTCACTTAGCATGTTTTTGAGATTCGTTCACATTTTTGAGTTATTCATATTTTGTTATTTTTATTGCTGAGTAATATTTGATAGTAGAGATATATCACCATTGTTTATTCGTTCAACAGTTGATGGACATTTGGGTTGCTTCCCACTTTGGTTGTTATGTATAATGCTGCTATAAACATTTGCAACCTCATCTTTGCATGGACATGTATTTTTACTTGAATAAAATAGCTGGGAGGGGAATTCCTGTGTTCTATGGAAAAAATATATTTAACTCTTCATAATGTACTGTCAGATTGATTTCTAAAGTGGCTGTTCCATTTTTTATTCCCACCAACACTGTATGAAAGTTTCAATTACTTTACATCTTTGTCAACACTTATTATTGGCAGTCTTTTAACTTTTAGCCATTCTACAGTAGGTATGTAGTAGTACCTTACACTGGTAGTAATTTACGTTTCCCTGAGATAACTATCAATGTTGAGTATCTTTACCTGTGCTCGTTGGCCATTTGTATATTATCTTTTGAAAAGTGTGTGCTTAAGTATTTCCCTATTTATGAAATTGAGTTTTCCCATTGAGTTGTAAGAGTTCTTTATACATGTTGGATTCGAGCCTTTTGTCAAGAATCGTCTATAAAAAATTCCTTCTAGTCTTGGCATGCCTCTTTGTTTTCTTAAGTATGTCTTTTGGAAGAAAAAAGTTTTTAATCTTAATGAGAGTCCATTTTAACTTCATTTCTCTTTTCACAGTTTTTGTCTTTTGTGTCAAGTTTAAGAAATCTTTGCCTAACCTAGTGTCATAAAGATTTTCTTTCCTATGTTTTCTTCAGAAGTTGAGTAGTTTAGGTCTTCATATTTATATCTAAAATTCATTTTAAGTTAATCTTTGTGAAAAGCTGTGAAATAAGGATAAAAGCTCATATGTTTCCTTATGTAAATATCCAGTTGTTCCAGTATCACTTATTGAAAAGACTGTTTTTTTCCTCCATTGAAATAACTTAGCACTTTTGTCAAAAATAAATTGACCATATAAGCATGGATCTATTTCTAGACTCTTTATTAAGATTCATTTTCCTATGAAAAAGTCCATTCTTTAGTCAGTTCTACACTGTCTTGATTAAGGTAGCTTTATAGGAAGTCTTTAAATCAGGTAATGTAACCCCTCCAAATTCATCCTCCCTTTTCAAAATTGTTTGGTCATTCTGAATCCTTTACTTTTTAATATAAATTTAAAAATTATCTTGCCAAATAATCTTGTTTGAATTTTAATTGGGATTTTGTGGAATTTATAGATCAATTTGGGGAAGACTGTCATCTAAAAATATTGAATCTTCAATTCATTAACATGAATTTATTCCCCCATTTATTTACTTATTTTACCTTTTACTTTTTTTGCAATGTTTTACTTTCCTTTTGCAATGTTATATAGACTTAAGTGTTCGCGTCTTGCATATCTTTTGTTATTTTTATTCTTGAATATTTTTATGCTATTTGAAATTGAAGTTTAAAAATTTTTATTATTAACTGTTTTTTTGCTAACATATAGAAATACCAGTTTTTATATTGACTTTGTATCCTGCAATCTTGCTAAATTTATTCATTAGATTTAATACCTTTTTTGTGGATTCCTTATGATTTTCTACCTAGCCGATCACGTCATTTGCAAAGAAGGACATCTTTACTTCTCCCTTTCTTATTCGCATGCTTTCTGTTTTCTTTGCTTGTCTTATTGCACTGGCCAAAATATCTAATACGATGTTTTTTGTTTGTTTGTTTGTTTGTTTGTTTTGAGACGGAGTCTCGCTCTGTCGCCCAGGCTGGAGTGCAGTGGCACTATCTTGGCTCACTGCAAGCTCCTTCTCCTGGATTCACGCCATTCTCCTGCCTCAGCCTCCTGAGTAGGTGGGACTACAGGCGCCCGCCACCACGCCCAGCTATTTTTTTTTTTTTTTTTTTTTTTGTCTAATACGATGTTTAAAAGAGTTTGGGAGAAGACAATCCTTGCCTTATTACTGATCTTTGAGTATGGTATTAGCTGTAGGTCTTTCATAGGTGCCCCTAATCAAGTTGGTATGTTCTCCTTTGTTCCTAGTTTACTGAGTTTTTATTATGGAATTGTTTTGTCAAACATTTTTCTACATCTATTGCAATGACTACATTTTTTTTTCTCCTATACTATTTTGATATGGTGAATTGAATTGGCTGTTTGTGTTCCAGGAACATGTAAATAATTGAACCTAAACTGCAAAGTGAAGGATAGAACATTTAATGATAATAGTATCATTAAAAATGGAAAATAAAAACATGTGTCTTAATATTACTTACTTAACGCACCCTTTTAAAAAAATCAGCAGAAAAACACCAAATGCTAGACATCTGAGTTAGTATGGGTAGGAATGGGGTCTGTTCAAAGAGGAGATATTATCTAATGTTTTTCTTTCTTTTCTGATTTTTAAATTTTTCATGTTTATTGAAAGTACTCATTTTTGCTTTGACATTATGTTACAAAGTTGACAACTCAATATTAAATTCCATTAAATGAATTCAAATCATTTGCTTAAAATCACATATTTTTTCTATAGAAAAGGAGCTTGTCATCAGGTAACTTGTAGGTACCTCATTATGTAGAAAAATTGTATTACCAGCTAAAAGTTTTAGCAGTGATTCATTCTCATTTATAATAAAAACAAAAATATTCCTGTGATTAAATTTAGCTGTAGTATTTGGCTACATCCTGATGCTTTTGATTCCATGAATGTTTAATTTCATTCTAGAGAGAAAACATTTGGGTGATTAGGGGCAGGACTAAGCACCCATACTCACAAAAACTGAACACAAAATGAAACAATTCATCATGCAGAAAATAGTCTCCATAAAAATACAGTTTCCTGAAAGGTAAATTATAAAAGTATGCATTTACCCAATCATTTTAAATGCCATAATTATACAGGCTGCTCATCAAAAGACTTTTAGGATTCATTAAAATCATAAAACAATTCTAATTAAATCCATATTTAAATTAAGTTTCTATAACTAACCTACATGGTACTTTAAATCAAACAAAAAAAGTTGTATAAAAGATCCAATTAATTGTAAGTTTTTGTAAGAATTAAAGCCTAATTACTCTATGATTAAGTTTCTCCAAAATGTAATCATCAATGGCTCTATTCAGAAGAATTAGCCTTCTGTACCCCAGATGCCAGCGGAGTGCTGCAGCCTGTCTTTGACACCAGCAAACCTATTCATCTGAAATCAGCATGACTGTGGAAACTTTACCTCCACCCCCACTGGGGATCCAAGTGGAGAGACCAAACAAAGCTGCATATTTTATACAGATAAATGTCTCCCTATCTGCACAGTTCCCTATCTGATTAAATAGATTCATGTTCATCAGTGAATTAAAAAATCAATCGTCAGAGCAGGTTTTAGAAACAATGGCTATTTCAAAGATTCCCAAGTCAATGGGAAAAGATGCACAAAAAAAGAATAAGATTTGCAGCTTACAGAGAAAGCGAACTAGGCGTTCTAACTCTATGCAACTCTTCTTTCTTACTTAGCTACTTGAAATGTTTTTCATTTTTATTAGTCCAACTTCCCACGGGAAAGAAAATAAAAAAGCTCTGTGACATCGCTGCCTCTTGTGTGTTTTCCAAAACTAATTAACCCTATGAAGTTATTAGGACAGCATCATTTTTTTCTATCACATCACACAAGGTGAAGGTCACTTGTATAATATTCTTGGCTTCATTCATGTAGTGCATATCCCACAAAATATAATTTACTGTAATTTCCCCAGTGCCCTGATAGCCAAGTGATTAGTTATTATGGTACATAAAAAGTTCAGACATATTACATATGATTTATAACCTCTATTTCTGATAATCTAATTTTCTTTTATGGTAAAAAGAAATATACTATATATGTTTTATAGATTGTTATTTTGAGGAAATCACTATTTAAAGTATCTTTTTATATGGATTCCGCTGATTGCAAGGCCTCTGGAAGCTGAAGCATCCAAATGATTGGGATATAAGGGTAGTTCTTTATCTACTTAATGAGACTTTTTTTTTAACTACCCTTACCTGCGCCAGTGGCAGAATGTTTGTCTGGTCACAGGTCAAGTCAGGCCAGCACTACCTGCCATCCACCCTGTAGGCATTAGTGAAGAAATGATAGCTCTGGACAAACACAATTGGGTATAGAATCTAGCCACAGCGGTTATTTCCTTCCCCTCAGGTACACTCTCCCTGACTCAAGAAACCCCCAGCTCTTTGCCACAGAAACCTTACCCTTTTATATGTGGAGTTGGCTTTCTCTGCTTTTAGAGAAGGGATTTTTAGAGCTATAACACATACATTTCTAGAACGCAGTTCCCTTCTCACTTCCTCTCCCCAATTACTATATTATCTTCATTTTTGCAGTGATCAAATTTTGTTACATGAATGCTAGCCTCAGTTGATTACATTAAAATGGTTTCTATAATACAAGAAAGCTCCCCCTAGTTGATTTGAGAGGTTCACATACAGTTATCACAGAAAAGGGTAGGTCTCAAAAAGGAAATCTGAGCAGCTTAGCTAGGTGAAAGAAAGGACAGTCCCTTCATCCTGTTCCTGACTGTGAAGAGGTGAGCACATGAATGAAGCTGCACCTACCATGAGGGCGTGCCAGAACCCAGGGGGAGGCCTCTTTTTCCTCTGTATCAGGTATAAAATGGAACAGCATCTGTGACCTCTAGTGATCAGAATGCCACATTGAAAAGTCACACAGCTAATAATAATGGCTGTTAATTATTAAGTACTTACAAAATACATGTATTGACCCTTTAAATCCTCACACTTATGAATTAGTATGATTTTCCAACTTTTATAGCTGATGAAACTGAGGCCAGAGGGGTGAAGTAATTCAGCCAAGGTTACACAGCTAGCAAATGGCAGCGCAGAGTTTTGAACTCAGGAAGTCTGGCTCTACTATCTATTCTCTTAACCATTCTGTATCCTGTTCTTTCAATTCTTTGTACTCTGTGCTTATTTAATAGCAAATACTTACATTGCACTGAAAATATGTCAGGCACTCATCTAAGAACTTTATTAAATCTACTTAGATCTCACAACAACCCTATGAAATATGTACTGTTATCATTCTCATTCTTTAGATTAGAAAACTGAGGCACAGAGATGTTGAGTACCTTGCAAAGGTTATGAAGCTAGGAAATGGAAGAGACTGGATTCAAACCAAAGTGGCCTAGTTCTGGAGTCCATGCTCTGTACCACCTCCTGTTTATTTTCTTGTCATCTCTTAGCACTTTGTGAAATGTCTTAAAGATTTAGTCTGCCCCAATTTGTTCTAAAGGGGAATAAAGGATAACTGTTTGTCCTGCTGAAGCCAGAGCACCCAAAAGCATATTATTTGGGGATAGGGCTGGGGATGTGGAGGCAGGAGATAGGGAAGAGCAGAATCATGATCACCTGCACAAACAAACCCAAGGTAAAGGTCAAACCAATAGAGACAGAACAGCTGGTCAATTTCCCTCCCTAGACAAAGGTTCTCCTTCCAGGGCTCACTTTGGAGATACTGGTTTTATTTTTCCTAGGAGAGGAAGCAGCTGCTTGCAGACAATGTCTCCTCTCTGCCCTCCCCAGGCTCCTGCTAACCCCTCATGCTGAAAGCCATTCTTTTATTGGCCTTCACACCACTCTCCTGGCTTTTCTTCTCATGTCCTGACCACCCCTCTTGGTGGGTTTATTTCTGATTGAGTCCCTCTGCCTTCCATTCTATGACAGTGGATAGCATCCTCAGCAAATTCAGTCCTTGGGTATGCTTTCTCCCCTCTCTCTCACTGGGATCTCACTGAGTTTAACTATCACCATGAGGCCAGTGACCCCCAAATAGTAGTCTCTTTGGAATACCTGCCCCCTTCTCCAGCTATGTGAGGTGTATTCACTCAGCCATCTTCTTGTCACTTCAAATTCTAGAAATCCAAAGTGGAGTGAATATTCCACCTCCAAGCCAACGGCTGGCCACCCATCTGTCTCTGTCAGGGCCACCACCAGGCCGCAGAGGGACAGTCTGGATCTGATGGGCCTTACCTCTTCCTGCTTTGCCATTATTCACTCTTCCTTGCTGCTGCTTTTACCTATCAAGATTACATCTTCTCATTCCCCTAACCTAAATCCTTCACATATTTCTGGACCCATATTCAATTTCCACAAAATCTTCTCTGATTACTTTGGCTCTCAGTGATCTCTCACCTCCTTCACACTTAATGTCTGCACTACAAAATGTAGCATTTAATCACTTCTGTCTTGTATTTTTTGCCATGTGTTCATCTTTTCTTAGAGCTAACTCTAGCTAAGTATATACTGCACTGCATGTCAGGCACTGGGGTACTGTCCATACATCATTTCACCAAATCCTCATGATGACTCTGTGGGGTTTCATAATATTCTCCAGATTAGAGATAACGGTGCTGAGTTTAAGAGAGATGAGGTAACTTACTCAAGGTCACAACGCAAAATGGAGGAGGTAAAATTCTTACCCACTTCTGTCTGACTACAAATTAACAATCTCTGTACTCCCCGTGGTGACTGACTGAATCCAATTCCTTTAAGCTAATTTTTCAAATTCTTGAATTTGATTTCCCTATGAAGGAATCTGGGTTATAGTTAAATCCTATTCCAAACAAGATAAGGCAGAAATAAATGAATACATAAGTGTAGCATCAATGATTTCTATAAGCCAATCCAATAAATTCTAATGCAGATTTTTGAATTGATAATTTCATACCATCAATACAGAACACAAAAATGTAATAATTACCACAAATTTAAAAATTAATTATTTTTCTTCTAAAACAGTTTAATAGCAAATAAACAAAGGAAGGTACCACACTTGGCAGATACAAAATGACTTTTTGTCTGTGTGTGTGCAATTAAAACAGATTTAGGTTCCCTGTTGGGATAAAAGGAAAAGCATATAGAAAAAAAGGAGATTCCTTTTAAACACATGCTCCCTGGCTCCAAAATTGTAACAACGTTTTTTTTTTCTTCTTTTTAAATTCACTACACAAATTCTGATTAGGTAAGAAAAGTGACAAGAGCTCTTTTTTTTTTTAAATTTAATTTTATCCAGTTTGAAACATTTGAGAATCACCAACAAAGGGACATATGTTATAGTCACATGTAATATAAAGTTGTATAAAATTAACATTTGAAAGAAAAATTTAGTTACCAAAGTCATGATTCTTAGCTCTTTTCTTCAAACTTTTTCTTCTTTAACAGGATATGGCTGCATTACTACCTCACTAGGTAGTAACCTTACTCATGGATACATTAAGTGACAACAGTGGCAGATGCTGTTGGAAATCTGCCCATGGCCCCTCAGTGCCCCTTACCAATTCTGTGCCCTGCAGCCCAACCACCAATGGCCAGCACCTGCATCTCTGCAGGAGGGTTGCTTCCAGGCTGTTGGAATCTACTCTGTCAGGGTACATGCGATTTCAGCTAAGTAGCCCTTAGCTGAAAATGAAGGTTGTGGGGATATACGGACCTCGGCTCCCTTACTCCTTAGCCAGGTTAATTCTGAGGTGTGTTTTATACTATTTCCAAGGCATTCCTTAGGGAATGAAGCTTCACTTGCCCATTGGGTAGCTGGCTTAATTTTGCACACTACTGGCTACATATTTTTTCCTGTATCAGCTCTACTCCCCTGCTAATGTCCCTGTACTTCCCATATAACCTTACAATGTAATCCTAATCTTGAGGTCAGCTTTTGGAGGAATCCAACTAAGTCATCAAGCATAATAACATACAATATCAAAATATTAAAATCATCACAATCTTCTTTTGCTTTGTAATTTCTGTTCCACTTCCCTTTATTTCTGCTTTATTTTCTACTGACGAAACTTCTTTTTTTTTTTTTAACTTTATTTTAGGTCCAGAGGGTACATGTGCAGGTTTGTTAAATGGGTAAATAGAATGTCATGGGGGTTTGATGTACAGATTATTTTATCACCCAGGTAATGAGCATAGTATCAGATAGGTAGTTTTTCGACCCTTATCCTCCTTCCACCCTTTCACCTCAAGATGTCCCCAATGTCTATTGTTCCCATCTTTGTTTCCACATGTATTCAATGTTAAGCTCTCACTTATAAATTAGAACTTGCAGTATTTGGTTTTTTGTTCCTGCATTAATTTACTTAGGATAATGGCCTCCAGCTCCATCCATGTTGCTGCAAAGAACATTATTTCATTTTTTTTACAGCTATGTAGTATTCCATAGTGTATATGTACCACATTTTCTTTACTCAATCCATTGTTGATGGCCACATAGATTGATTCCATGTCTTTGCTATTGTGAATAGTGTGGCAATGAATATACAAGTGCATGTGTCTTTTTGGTAGAATGATTTATATTCCTTTGGGTATGTACCCAGGAATGGGATTGCTAAGTTCAAAGGTAGTTCTGTTTTATATTCATTGAGAAATCTCCAAACTGTTTTCTGCAGTGACTGAACTAATTTACATCCCCACCAGCAGTGTATGAGCATTCCCATTTTGCCACACCTTGTCAACATCTGGTGTGTCTTGACTTTTTAATAATAGCCATTCTGACTGGTGTGAGATAGTATCTCACTGTGGTTTTGATTTGCATTTCTTGAATGATTCGTGATGTTGACCATTTTTTTCACATGCTTGTTGGCCATGTGTATGTCTTCTTTTGAGAAGTGTCTGCTCATGTCCTTTGTACATATTCTAATGGGATTGTTTGTTTTTTTGCTTGTTGATTTAAGTTCCTTATAGATTCTGGATATGAGACCTTTCTCTGATGCATAGTTTGGAAATATTTTCTCCTATTCTGTAGGTTGTCTGTTTACTCTGTTGATAGTTTCTTTTGTTGTGCAGAAGATTGTTAGTTTAATTAGGTCCCACTTTCTATTTGTGGTTTTGTTGCAATTGCAATTGCTTTTGGGGACTTCATCATGAAATTGTTGCCAAGGCCAATGTCCAGAATGGCATTTCCTAGATTTTCTTCTAGGGTTTTTATAGTTTTAGGTCTTACATTTAAGTCTTTAATCCATCATGAGTTGATTTTTTTGTGCATAGGGAAAGGAAAGGATCTAGTTTCAATCTTCTGCATATGGCTAGCCGGTTATCCCAGCACCACTTACTGAATGAGTTCTTTCCTCATTGCTTGTTATTGCTGACTTTGTCAAAGATCAGATGGTTGTAGGTGTGAAGTTTTATTTCTGGATTCTCTAATCTGTTCCATTGGTCTATGTGTCTGTCTTTGTATCAGTACCATGCTGTTTGGTTACCATAGCATTGTAATATAGTTTGAAGTAAGGTAGTGTGAAGCCTCTGGCTTTGTTCTTTTTGCTGAGGGTTGCTTTGGCTATTTGGTTTCTTGTTCAGTTCCATATGGATTTTAGAATAGTTTTTTTCTAGTTCTGTGTAAAATGACATTGGTAGTTTGACAGAACATTAAGTCTGAAAATTACTTTGGGCAGTATGACATTTTAATAATATTGATTCTTCCTATTAATAAGCATGGAATGTTTTTCCATGGGTTTGTGTCATCTCTAATTTCTTTCAGCAGTGTTTTGTAATTTCTATTGTAGAGATCTTTATCTTCCCTGTATTCCTAGGTATTTTATTCCTTTTGTGGCTACTCGGAATGGGATTGCATTCCTGATTTGGCTCTCAGCTTGGATGTTATCAGTGTTTAGAAATGCTACTGATTTTTGGACTTTGATTTTGTATCCTGAATCTTTACTGAAGTTATCAGTTCTAAGAGCCTTTGGGCAGAGACTGTGGTGTTTTCTAGGGGTAGAATCATATTGTCTGCAAAGAGAGAGAGTTTAAATTTTTTTTTTTTTTAAATTTTTGTCTGCCTACATTGATTCAAAGGAGTGGTCTTCCATCATCCTCAGCAAACTAACACAGGAACAGAAAACCAAACACTGCATGTTCTCACTCATAAGTGGGAGTTGAACAATGAGAACACAGGGACACAGGGAGGGGAACATCACACACTGGGGCCTGTCAGGGGGTGGGAGGCAAGGGGATGGAGAGCATTAGGACAAATACCTAATGCATGCAGGGCTTAAAACCTAGATGATGGGTTGATAGGTGCAGCAAACCATGGCACATGTACACCTATGTGCCTAGATAACCAACCGGTACGTTCTGCACATGTATCCCAAAACTTACAGTAAACAACAACAACAACAAAGGGGTGGTCTTTGGTCTTTGAGCTCTGAGATTCTTTCCTCAGCTTGGTCTATTCTGCTATCAACACTTTCAATTGTATTATGAAATTCCTGTTGTGAATTTTTTCACTTCCAGAAGTTCAATTTGGTTCTTTCTTAAAATGACTATGTTGTTTTTCAACTTTTGGATCATTTTACTCTTTTCCTTAGATTGGGTTTCAAACTTCTCCTGTATCTTTTTGAGCTTTCTTGCCATCCAGATTCTAAATTCGATATCTGTCATTTCATCCATTTCAGTCTGGTTAAGAACCATTGGTGGGGAGCTAGTATGATCATTTTGAGGTAAGAAGACACTCTCGCTTTTAGAGTTGCCAGAATTCTTGTGTTGGTTCTTTCTCATCTGTGTAGGCTGATGTTCCTTTAATCTTTTTGAATGTCCTGGGATGGGGCTTTTTGCTTTTATATTTTTTGTGCCCTTGAAGGTTTACTGTAGTATAAGTTGGGTTTATTCAACTGTCTTAATTTCTGCATGCCTCCAGGGGGCCAAGGCTTTTCTCAGCACTCCTGGGCTGTGTGCTCTAACCCTGGGGGGCAGGGACCAGGCCCTTGGCTTTGTTCTCTGGTCCCTCAAGGTCAAGCACCTGTTGCACCAGAGGAGCCAAGGTACTCCCAGTTTTCTGACAAAAACACCCCAATGAGGACTGCCAGCAAAAGTGCTCTGATGGGGAAGGGGGGTGTGGGCAAGTGTGCACCAGTGAGGCAGCTGAGGGTAACTGCATACTGACAGAGTGGTTGGGGGCATGGGTGTGTGTACACCAGTGGGGAAGTTGGGGGACCACACACACGTACAATAGTGGGGTGGCTGTGGGCATGTGTGTATCAGTGAGGCAGTGGTGAGTTCCCCCATGCATGCATACCAGTGTGGCAGCACTCATGTGCTGGTGGGATGGTGGGAGGAGCCTGTGGGTGAGTACATGTCAGTTGGGGGATGCTGCAGGCAAGTGCATGCTGGCGGGGGAGGCTGCAGCAAAGTGCGCACCAGTGGAGGTCTGTCTGCAAAAGCACTCTGATGGGAGGGCGACAGCTATCAGCTAAAGAATTGTGGTGGTGGCCACTGGAAAGTGCTTTAGTGGGGAAGCTGAGGCTGTGCTGTAAGTTGGTGTGGCCAGACAGGGACCCTGGGAGAGACTGGCAGACAGAGGGTCATTCAGACCAGACTGGCCCAGTCCTGCAGGCATTACAGCACTATTCTCTCCAGGTCTGGCAGCTAACAAAGGCTATAGCCACCTAGAGAAGAGTGGTGAGCCTTGGGGTTGGGCACCCACGGCCATGTTCCACTGCAGCTGTCCCCACGCCAAACCTTGTAGGCTCCATGCAAACTGGAGTTCTGTCTCTGCCAACTCTCTGGGTAGTTCTCCCTGCCAACTCAAATGTCTGTGTGGGTCATAGGGGTCTCCCATAGCTATGATCCTGGAGATCCGTGATAAGAGTGGGCTGCTCCACACCAATTTTACTCACCCCTTTCCTAGGAGCTCCTCAGGGCCAGGAATAAGCCTTAGTGCTTGGCAACCCAGTGCAGGGTTTCTAGCTTCCTCCCCTGTCAGCCCTGTGGTCTGCATCCTTCCTCTATCCACTCTCAATGCCTGCTTTTCGAAGATCTGCTCAGAGTGTCAGTCTACTTGATGTTCTTTTCTCTGTTGGTGGGAGAAGCTCTTCCTAGTTGCATCCAGTCAGCCATCTTGGCCCTTTCTCCTTACTGCTAAACTTCTGATATCATGACCATTCTATGCTTATAGAACTAGGCAAAAGGAAATAGGAAATATTTGAGGGAGGGGGCGGGCTACTTAAGGTGGGTAGGCAGTCATCCAAATAAAACAGAACCAGCACTAGAACTCAGGACCCTTGACCTGCAAACTGGATAAGGTTACACATCTCATTCTACTATTTATCCTTATTTTTCCTAAAATGAAGCAAAACAAACCAAACTGAAACCAATTCACAAAGAAAGACAACTCCCATACCAGTATAACTATTATCTCCTACTCCTACTCCTTAAATTTCTGCTCCCTTTTATGTTGACGCTCCTTTTTCTTGATTTCTTTTTTCCTGCTATATTCCTCACTTAGAGGACACAGGTCCATTGTTCCTCAAAGCTGCTATTTCTCTAGAAATATAGAATTTAAACATATATATATATATATATATATATATATATATATATATGTATATCAGGACCTTAAGTGATTAATTTCTTTAACTTTTTAGATCAAGTTCTTTTTATTAAACTGTAGCAGTATCTGCATAAAAATACTTTGTGGAAGCATAATATGTAAAGCATAAAAAATAGAACTATTTTGGTTGAAGTGGAAGGAACAGGTGCTTGAGACTCTGAGAGTGACGCACAGAACCATCAGCTATAAAAGAACAGAAAGCAGTGGCCATCTGGGAAGATGTAATAAATTTACATGTAATTAATATAATAATTAATGTAATAGATTTAATAAATGTATAACTTATTATACATTTGTATAATGTAAGATTAAATTAATTAATGTAATAGATTTAATAAAATGCAGTGGGGCCTCAGTATCCACAGCCTTGTTCTTAGTCTTGCCAGGAGTTGTGTTAATAAAAAACTATTCAATGACACTTTAAAAAAAAATTAAGACACGATCTTGCTCCGTCACCCAGCCTGGAGTGCAGTGGCATGGTCACGGCCTACTGCAGCCTTGATCCTTTGTGCTCAAGTGGTCATCCTGCCTCAGCCTTCTGAGTAGCCTGGAATACAGGTGCATGCCACCTTGCCTTGCTAATTAAAAAAAAGGTTGTTTTTTTTTGTTTTTTTGGTTTTTTGGTTTTTTTTTTTTGGTAGAGACGAGGTATTGCTATGTTACCCAGTCTGGTCTTGGATTAAAGTGTTGGGATTACAGATGTGGGCTACCACGCCCCACCATGAAACTTATTAAAGCTCAGTAAGGAAAACTTTATTCAGAACCATTGTGATCGGTATAGGGACCACTTCAATGGGGTCTTGCAGTGAAGGACAGAGATTGGGCTTAACTCCAAATACAGCGTGGGCAAATCAGAATTTATAGCTAAGGAGCAGTGTGGGGGTCAGTGGATAGATAATTACTAAGTGGAAACATCAGGGGTAAAGGGTCTTCTGGGTAAACTGACCTATCAGGATTCTTGCTGAAGACAAGCCAGGGTGATCAGACGTCACTTGGGGGATGATGGGTAGAGGATGAGAGTATCTAAGATAATCAGATATTAAAGATAGGGGGTTCTGGCTAAACTGATTTAGCAAGGTTCTTTTGCTAAAACTGGATTTAACAAGGAAGTGCACAGATGGACCTAGGAGAATTTTCAGAATCCTGACTAAAATTTGGCAAAGCCAAAGAATATTTGGTCAGTGGGCTAGCATCTGCATGGCTGTACAACACTTAAAAGCCACTGTTCTCCTGCAACTGGCACACAAATGTAAGGATTATAGAAATGAGGAAGGATGAAGGGGAGGAAGAACAGAAAAATCACAAGGGTAGTGGTGGGGAAGATTAGAGGTCCTAGCCTGCTATATTGTATTTGAGGGACATGAAAACAGGCAGAGTGAGGATGCGTCTCTGTGTACTGTTTTACGTGTGCTGGGCTTCAGAAATCAACATTACTGTGTTTAAGAGATAAATTATACCAGCGGTGTGGCTAGGGTGGTGATCTCTGCCAATGTCAGGGAACTGGCTAGCAGCAGGAGGAATAGGCTATTAAGATCTGCAATGCTTTATGGTTCTGACTGTACAGGTTTCTGCACCAGGAAACACCAAAGCAGATGCTGGGGACTGGGGAAAGAAATATCAGTTCCTGAATAAACCTGTAAATATGACTGGGGCTGGTGCCATCTTATGTATTCTTACTGCACCCAGTGACCCAGGCCAATCTGGGAAAGAGCCTCATCCCTATCAATTAAGTTATTATTTCACCTGAAGCTCTGCTGCAAATGGCATAGCAGTTTTGTTGTGAACATAGGAAAATTACCCAATGAGGCACATGGTCTAGACAACTTGACTAGCCACAAATGATCCTGGATATGGTAACCTTGACTAACAGAGTCTGTTGCTATTGATTATTCTTTCTCAGAGCCTTTTGTTCTGAGATGGTGATTTTCAATTCAGAGCACCATTTCATATCATTCCTGAGATATTGGTACTACTCTTTGGCTTTCTTAGAACTGTACCCCTATCTGTCCTCAGGTGAACAAAGGCCCTAGTTTTAATGATGGCATCCATGTATACACACAGAGAGACATGTAAAATGTTCATTATTCCTAATGGAACTACAGAAACTTAGAGAAATAAAGCATTACCTGCCATTTTCATGATCAACGTTTGCAATAGAGTGCATAAATGCTTCGGTTTACAGAAATAGCTAGACCTTCCTGAACCCTCCCAGTGATTAATTAGAAAGCCTGTCTTACAGATTTTTCTCTCAGGTGTAGTAACCTTGTAGCCCTTACCATTAAGAACTAATAAATAAATGCTTGGTTAAGCATAAACAGGGTGATAGGCAGTGGAAGAGTGATGATCTTAGTTTTTATGCAATATGCTCACTCCGTCATTTTACCTTGGAGGACAAAATAAGATACAAAACTAAAAGTTGCAAAAGCAGCTACAGTGAGCAATGTGTTATTAACCATTTAAAAAGTGTTAATATAGCCCTCACTGTGAATGATCATCTTTGTGATTGTATCACAATTAATTTTAAGAAATAAAAGTTCATGATTTCAGGAAAGCATTTCCAATCTGCAATTAAACTGAGTAAAAACATCTAGTGGGTGAGGGACCAGATGTTTAAATTTACTTTTAAAAAAAGAAAAGGAAAAAGATTAGATCATAGCTAAGTATTCACAATCAAATGGAAGACTGCCCATTTAACAGATACTCGAGTATCTGATTTGCACAGATATTGTAAATTACTCATCATATTAAATACAGCTCCTCATCTCCTTCCCATATATTTTATGCTAACAAACTTCTGTAACTGCTGATTCCTTCCATCATCCTCTCTTTTTAGATACACTTTGAGAAATAATATGTCAAACTGGGAGCTTTGACAATCTTGAAATGATATCATAACCTTCAAAATTTCAGCTTCTATCATGAAAATGTTAACAAATAAAAATGTAAAGTTAACCCCATTATAGCTACGCAAACAGAATCCCACAACGTGACAGTATATTTAGAAAAAATATCAAACTGAATGACTATAAACAAACATTTGGGTAGATACATCTGTGAATAACTAATTCAGCTTAAAATTTTCTTTAGAGCAGTAACAGATTACAAAATCTAGGCCACAGTATATGGTCAAGTCATTAGTTTTTCTTATTGGGGAAATGGGAGTTATTCAAATAGAACAAATTTGTACTTCTTTGATAATTGCTAATTCAGTTAAGGATTTCCTTTAAACCAAAATAGTGACTTGTGACAAATAGCCAAATATATATTTAAGGCATTATAGTTTTGGCTGACATTTTTCTCTTTCAGAGTTCAAGTTCACATTAAAGTAGTTACCCAAGACAATGCCTTATACTTTGAATAGTTCCAAAATATAAAATTACCCATTACTTGGATAAGAGAGCCATGGATTATGTGTGAATGAGGAATAAGAGAGCTACCTAAAAATATCACCATTCGATTCTTTGTGAGTCCTTTTTCTGTTATACTAAGTTAGCATTGCATCCAAACAAATGGAAAAAACTAAAGACCATCAAGTTAAATTGTAAACTATTTATGGAAAAATAAATTTCTTTAGCTTCCTTTGTAATTCCTTCAAAGATTAACAGTGTGCCACTGTGAGCATCTTGCATAAGCTGATTGAATGGTTTTACCTTTTATTTTTCCTTCAAGAGAAATGAAATGGAAGAATATACAAAAGACAGCATCAAAAATATACCTCATTTTTCTGGGTATTTAAAACTATTCTCTGACTAAACTGTTCATATGACCTCCTCTCCTCTACAGGGGGCAGTTAATCATCACTCAAAAGTTCCCCATTCAGGAATAACTTCCATATCTGGTGAACATCTTTCCAGACACCTGTAATACTAAGACAAAGGGATGGAAATGAAATATCTTTTAAAAATGGGACAATTTCATAGATGCTGCCTTTAATACCACATAGATAATCAAAGAAAAAAATGAAGTGAAAGAGAAAAATTGTTGGGAATTCAGAGAAACGTTTCTTCACTATGAGTTGGTAGAATTCCTTGAAAATTCCTCTAAATGTAATTTTTAAGACACCATGAAAGAACTGTAAGTGGCTGAAACATTAGTACTTAAAACAGCATCTTCTGAGAGCTGATTGTAAAAGATGTACATCATGGTTTTTTCCATCACTTCCCTTTTTCTCCACCCTTTGGTAGTTGGTGTGTGTGTGTATCTGTGGGTATGTGTAATTATTTTTACACTCTCAGGATTTATAACATTTAACTATGATTTCTGTGACTATTTAATCATATATATATATATATATATATATATATATATTTTGTTTTGTTTTGTTTTTGAGACGGAGTCTTGCTCTGTCACCCAGGATGGAGTGTTGTGGCGTGATCTCGGCTCACTGCAACCTCCGCCTCCTGGGTTCATGCCATTCTCCTGCCTCAGCCTCCCGAGTAGCTGGGACTACAGGTGCCCACCACCACTTTTTTATATTTTTAGTAGAGATGGGGTTTCACCATGTTAGCCAGGATGGTCTCGATCTCCTGACCTCGTGATCCGCCCGCCTTGGCCTCCCAAAGTGCTGGGATTACAGGCGTGAGCCACCATGCCCGGCCCAATCTTAGATAATTTTATATAGTATTTTACTTTGATTCATCTCTTGCTTGTAATAATTATCATGGATGCCATAATCCCTAAGCTCTTACCTGCTTGAGAATGTTGTCTTTATATTTCGGATCATATTTTCTTGCCCTGGAAATGTTGCCATAGACCCACTGCTATGTAGCCAGTGCTGCTCTGAAAAAGTGTAAGACGCACCTGATTTTCCCCTATTCCATGACTTGCTTTGTCAGCTAGGATGCCCATATAATTTTATCCTTAGAGAACAAAGAAACTGTATTAGCATATGTTTTAGCATTATTTTGTATTAAGGTTTTTTTTCCGATATAAAGGATGCTTGCACTATACAGATCAAATCTTTCTTCAGGAAAGTTTTCTTATGTGTTAGTTTTTTTGTTCCGTTATTTTCTTCAGAAATAGTAATTTTGTGATTGTTGGTTCTCCTTTTTCTCTCTGCCGCATCTATCATCTCTATAGTAATTTTTACATAGTTCTTTTAACCTAATTTGGTTTTTGAGGCTTATTTTCTTTGTCTTTATTTCTCAATTCTAGCCTCTATGACTTTGTTTTGAAGAGCATATATTCTAATTTTTATTGCCTTTAATGAGGCTTTTATGTCTGTTATGATTTCCAGTTTCTCCTTCATTTCTTTATGAGTTTTCCAGATCAATTTTCATCTTCCATTATTTCACTGTGTCACGTTTTTGAAGTCTTTTTAGATTGTTTTCTAGAGGCTGTGTTGTCTGTAATTCCTTAGAGACTCTGGAGAACTATTTTTTTGAATACTTTCTGTGTTTCTCTTGTGCCATTCCTCTTCAGATTATGTTCTTCATTTGCCTTTTGTTTATAGTCCCTTTTTCCTTCAGGTTTTATGCATAGGTCAAAGTTGATTTCTTTTTGCTGATACAGTAAGCAGGATACCTTGTACAGGACAGATTGATTTTTATTTGTTTATTTGTGCTCTGTGGGTTTTTCAAAGAAGACTGTATGTTTATTCTTATTATCTTCTTCAAAGGCTCTTCTAATTCTTGTATCATGAATATTATGAGGTCAATGTTGAGAACCTTTAATCTAATGCCCACATATTTCTTACACATCAAAGGTTTCCTGAAACTCACACTATGGTTTCTTTTTATCTCTTTCCCTTTCTCAGTGCTTGTCTGTCACAATCCTTCAGTCTCTCCTATAAGGTCTCATCACTTTACATCAACCATTTATGGACTAACTTTTCCTTTCTTCCACCCTCAAGTGACATAAGATGTTTGCAAAAACGGTTTTAGGGCTTATATACACTGGGAATAGAGGAACTCGCGGAAGATCAAATCAATTCTATAGACAATACCACATTGCTGTTCTTTTCTGGTTTGGGGAGGTGGAAAGCATATTTCCAAAACAGTATCATTTTTAGTTATTTATTTTGAAATGATTTTATGTTGTTATATAAGGAATTATGTTTCTTCTACTCTCCAATTCAGAAATTGAGCCAGCAATGTTCTTTTCTCCTAATTAGGTTTTAGTTATACCTAGGGGCTCCCTAGGTGCCCATGGCCAGCAATTCTAATATAAATAAAAATGCAGTATCATACTCTGTTCTATTACAATCATCAACTGAGTTAAAGCAGAACCCACTGAGATGTCTACTAAACAGTGAAGGAAACATTTATGAAATGTGTGGTCCCCAGAAAGCATTTTTTATACCAGTTCTAAAACAACCCCAGGTGTTGCAAAGAGGTAAGTTTACATATCACCTTCTTTTTGAAAGAATCATTTCCCACACCTTCAGAACTTTTCCCAGCAGCCCTGTCCTGGTTCTAGTCTGCCAGAGATCTTTGGCACTCAAATAAAGTCAGAGGCACCTCCTCAATGCCTACTCCTCATCAAGAGTGTTTGTAATTGAAGACCAAGACAGATAAAGGACCATTCTTCTGACTAGAATAGGTTTAACTTAAATTAGCTTGAATTATTTTATTTTTTCAAGTGCATATTCTCAAGTATCCTGGCAACATTTCACGCATATGTTTCCGTGGTGTCTAAACACACAGCAATATCACAATAACACATAGGTAAAAAGGGGTTTTTAAAACAATTACAACATGGATTGAGCAGACCATACTACTTTCAAGAACCTGGATAAAACTGATAGGATTTGCCCTGTATCTTTCAAATCTTTCTTGTGCTTCCAGAATACAGGGGGGCTCGCAGTCAAACACTTCTTTACCTTAAAGTCAGGCTGAACTTGTTCCTTAGGTTATGAAAAGCCAAACCATGGCTTCCATGCTTTATGCTATATTGGGATATAAGATATTAGTCTTAAGTTAGGCATAGTTGAACAATTGCCGAACTGTTCATTAATCATCATACAGAGCTATCAAATATTTTAGGGCATAAAGTTCCTGTGTTTTTGTTTTTTTAAGCCCATGAATATCTGAAATATTTATAAAACAAATGGTTTAGAGTAGCATGCTGTAAGGTCATTTATTTTTTCCAGCAAATTAATACACTTTACATATCTGTTTCAACTGAAGACTTAGAATATCAACAAATATTCTTTCAGGGAAAATATCATCAAAGCTAATAGAGAAAATATAAAGCAGAATAGTATTTGACAGACAAACTGTATATAAGTAAAACAAACAAATAAATAAAATAACAGACCTCATTTATTTTTGCTCACAGGTAAACTCAGTCCAAGATGCTAATGAGAATTCTGAGCATAAAGCAAGGGAGAACACTTACCTCCCTGACTGACTTAAAAGCATAAAGCTTAGGTTTGAATTAACTAACATCTATTATTCAACAATTCAATTCCACAAACATTTACTGTACATATAATATGAGGCAATGAGTTAGATGCTATGAGATGTTAACAGACATACCAGACATGAGCCTCACAGAGTGAACCATCTTTGGGAGATAAAGCACATATACAGGTAACTGCAATGAAAGGCAAGGTGGCAATGCTAGAAAACACACAAACAAAAGGCTAAGACAGCACAGAGGCCAGAATATTAACATCTAGCTGAGAGTTACAGAGAAGGCTTCATGTGGGAGTGAGCATTTGAGCTGACTCTTAGAGGATGGGAAAGATGGAGCTGGGGCTGGAGATTGGGGAGGAATTCTAGATGAAGGGCACAGCATGATCAAAGGCATGGAAATGTGAACGTATTAGAGTGTTTGTGAACAAATGGAGCATAGCTTGTCCAAGAGGGAGATGTGTTAGACAGTGCTGGAAAGAAGCAAGTGTTTGAACTTGAAAACGGGCCAGGGCTTATTCATACAAGAATAGGTAGTTTTCAAGTTTTTCTGTACATTCAGAATCACTCTGGGGATCCTATTAAAATTCTAGTTCTCAGGCCCATCCCAAAAATTTGTATGCAGTAGGTCTGAGGGATATTGGTCTGTGCATTTACATTTTCAGTGAGTGCTCTAGATCATTTTGATGTTTGTGGTCCACAGACCAAACTTTAAGAAAAAACCCATGTGGGGCTTGGAAAGGAATTCTTCAGGATTTAAATTTTATAATTTTAGGTAATGGAAGTTTTCATGTTTTTGCTCAGTGAAAATTCGGTCAGTTTCAGTAACTCTGACTGTTTGAATTTGTTTATTGCATTAAATGTTTTTTATAACATGAAAACAGACAATGAGCTTTTTAAAGAAAACCATACTGATAAAATATAATCATAGAAACACACATAACACATACACACACCCCTGAATAGTCCAGATTCTAGAAATCTCTATTCTACCAAAAACAGTGTTCAGAAAATGAACCATGCAAGTCTAAAAATTCTGTAGTTTGCAATGTTGGTATTCATAAGCAGGGTGAGACATCAAATGCTTTGCACATCAGTAGGTCCGGTAGAAAAGAAATTTAAATAAGAGACGAACTATGCTGTGGGGCGGTAAGGAGGACTTACATGTAGCTGACCTGTCAGTGTTAAGTTGAAAAGGGTTGTGCTCATGCTTGCATAACTTTTTATGCTGCTTTTACTAATTAACATGTGTAAAAATGTTAGGAAAATTTTCAGTAGGGTAATGCCTTTCTTTACCTGTTTATAATTTATTTTTCTTCTAAGCTTTTTTAATGGTGGCTAGAATCCTGCAGTAGACATCACATACTTGATTTTTTTGACAGCATTGCCACATTTTCATCCTTTTGGTGTTTCTTAATTTCAAACTCTGCATTTTGACAGCTCAACCCTGTTGATTAATGTCTTCTAGGAATCCCTATATGGCCTGCCTGTTAGTGATCTAATTTTGTGCTGGAATGCCTGGGCTGGTATGTTGAACCGATTCACCACCCAGGTGGCTACATTTGGACTAAATGAGCTGTGAAGGGTTTCATCTTTGCCCATCACAGTCTTCCTTCGCAGAGCCCCACAGTATGCAGCCACTGCTTCGACATGATTTGTCACAACCCATCAATAGAAAATAAATTATTGCCATTCTCACTTGTCAATGGGCTTGTCTTCACTTCAGCTGGCCTAATGATTGGAAGCTCAAAGGGAACATTTCCCATCTTTGTGGAGCATGATTATGACCGAACGCACTGCTCCCCTATGCATCTTGGCCAGTAAAAACACGTAGGGAAGGCAAATTAATTGGCTGTTTTGCGCCAGTGATTAGAACATTACACTGAAGTCTGCAGCAGAAACTGGTATTAGGCAAGCAAGATTAGGTCGGTTCTGACTTTTATTTGCTTAGTGCAACATGATTAGCAACTGCTTCATTCAAGGCTAGTGCACTTGCTGCTGCAGAAGAAAATCCTTATAACATAATGATGCTGCATACCTTTAAGCTGATAAGCATGTTCCAGGCAAAAATCAAAATCTCTTTGGGAAGGAAGCAAATGAGGAAATGTAACAGTGAACTCATCAAATGGCTTTAGAGTCATTCTTATGTCTGGCACTTTTGAAAATTATATTCTTAGGAAACCGGCTCTGCAAGCTATATTTGCAGAATATAGAGGTGGTAATTGTGTCAGTTCAGGAGACAAAGAATAAAAGGACCCAAGGAGCAATAAGAAGTAGAAGGTTACACCTTTCAATGAACTAACTAAAAATGAGCTTGCTTTAAAAGAAACAGAAAATTCTTTTTTTACAAACTACAGAAAGAGCTAGAAGAGCAAAAGATACAATGGCATCAAGTCAGACCTCATAATTAAATACAGAGATGCAATAGATCAAAGAAGAAACTGTATTAAAAAATTAGGTCTAGGGTGTGGATTTAGTTTCCTTGTTAACAGCTTTGCCTGGAGTATAATGACACGAGGCTTTATCTAACAGAATAATAAACAAAGATGTAGTGTACAAGTAAAAGAATGCCTGACACTTTAATTATTTTAAACATGATAGTGTTTTAGATTTTGGCCATGTCTCCAAAACTAAGCAATTTTTATTATTGCCCCATCTTGTCTACCACTACCCAGGAATAAGAGAGACAAAAATACTATCAACAAAGATCAAAATCTGAGTTCCTGGCTTATATTTTCTCTGGCCTTCTCAGTGGATTATTTTTCCAACTCTTTGTCTGTTCTTTAGTCCAGAGATGTCTCAAGAATACAACTAAAACTTAAAATGATATACAGTTTAGAAACACTATTAGTGTAGTTTCATGTTCATTTAATTTAGCTTGGGTTTCACCTGTGCCACAAAGAATGACACCTTTAGTTTAAGAACACTAAACTGCCCCTTCTTGGTACCAATAACTCAGATGCATGGAAGTTTCTCCACATGTTATAGACATTTTGGTTTACAAACTCTTTGTGGTTTTATTCCTCTCCCCTTCAAATGAGTGACTATCTTCTGGTGTTTAGAAACATAGGGTTATTAGGCTCCCAAGTCACCCCTTTGGTATCTGGATTAGGGTCTCATGTTATCACGCTGATTCCTTCCTTCACATGGTCAGTGTTCCTTGCTCTAGGAAGCCTTCCCTGAACAAGGCCTTATTTGCCCCCATCCTGGACTGTATTTCCAGCTTCCTCTATTAAAACACGCTAGATCTTTTACTTCTCCTTCTCATTCTTGTCTTGGATTATTAAAGTAAGATCTATCTTCCGTATACTTTGTCCACTATCTTGAGTCCTACCTGTAACTCATTTTTTCTCTTATCTGTGTATTTTGCCCTTTTTTTGTAGTTTGCAGACCCTGTTCCCTACTGGATGTTATCTGCATCTGATCATATTGGATCCAAGTGAACATTCTTCATTTTATTTAACTCCAGGATCATCATATTTTCTTACAGAGCATATCCCTAACTATGTTCTCAGATATAACTAGGTATTTTATATATACGTACATGAATACAAATTGATGCCTTTTAGAAATTATGTGCCCATACCTGAATAAACACTGGCAAGTTAAGTGAGAGATTATCTGATATATATGAATACACGATGTTACTCTTCATTAATACATAGGTGGAATTTGCTAGCCAATGGCTGCCTTAATCTATGCTATTTATTCAATGATTGCTATTAATAGTAAAATTATTGTATGATTTCAACATATACTTGTGATACTTAGTACTTATTAGATAGTAAGGATTTATACGATAAACATTTGTCCCCCATGGATTTGTGCCTGAAAGAAGAAATATTTTAAACGCAAAGTAATCTTGTGTTTCTCAAACTTTTCCCAAACAAATAAGCAAAACGATCGAATTCTTCAAAGTGAAAATAAACACTCTTGTTTCATACAGTTTTGTTTATATATTGCCCATAATCAGATTTATGGAAAATGTTCAATGTCAAGACTGGAAAATAGCGTCTTACACAGCCACTGTATCAAGGTTTTACAACATACATGTAAACATTTAGGAGACAACTTCATCAAGAAACGTGAAGAGTCTGAGATTTTTCCCTTGCTTTTAAGCTAACGAGATAGCCTGCTAAGGTTTCATAAATGCTAGCAGGAGACATGAGGCTATTAGGAGACAGGCAAAGACCTTAATTACTCATGGGACTATGGGCAACATAAGCTCCACATTTACACGGGATACCCTTGGTCACCCCACTCCCAAGTCTCACAGGAGGAATACAGAGTGGCCCAAGTGGATGCTGCATGTATAGTGAATTTGTGTCATAGCTAAGGAACCTCAGTTTGGGAAATCCAATCTTATTAGGGGGCTGCTAGCAAACCAGCCCAACCTTTGCCCAGGAAGGAGTCATTATCTTTATTATCCCAGTAGAGAAACAAATCTGCTTTCTACCCTGAGGGACTCACTATCTTGAGGCTGTCTGCTATGCAGAGCTCTTTGAACAGATAGTCTGGGACAAAAGCCATCACAAGACATGTAAAAATGCCATGGAGAACTACCACCTTAACAAAGTTTTAAATAATATGAATCATATTAATTATTAAGAATACTTATATGATCCAGATTACTGTATAAAATACATTATGTACATTATCTCATTTAATTCTATCAATAGCTCTATGAAATAGGTAATATCATCCCCATTTCATAGATAAGGAAATTGAGGCACTCTAAGATAAGTAACTTGACCAAAGACTTAGGATTGTAACCCCTGTTTGTTTGACTCTTGGGTGTTTCACAGGCTCTCTCCCCACAAAAGGATTTTTCTCTGGTGTTCTCCATCTCAATGAATGACAGCATTCATCTAGTGGCCATAGGAGAAATTTGGGCATCATGATTTTCCTTTTTCTCTGGTTTCATAAACCTCCAAGTCCTATTGATATTATCTACTATATAATAAATATCTCTTGAATGAGTCCTTTCTCTTGGTAATATAAGTTAGACTACCATTATCTCTGGCTAGAATGGCTGCAACAGTGACTTCCAAATTGGTATTGCAGTCTCCTATTCCACCCACCTAATACTACCTCTTTTAGCTAGAATCAGCTCTCTACAAAGCAATCTGATGACATTATTTTACTATCTAAAACCTTTCAATGATTCTCCATATATTTATCCTCAGGTTAAATATAAATTCCTTGAACAGCCCACAAAAGGCCTTTATGATGGGACCCAGACTCTCATCTTTTATCTACTTAGCCCTTCGACTTTGACTTCCCACCACAGACAACATTGTTTATGTCTGTGAAAGTCACATTCTTACTCACCTTGAGTGATACAGGTGCTGTTTTCCAGTTTGGAATATTATTTCCATCTTCACCTTCACATCTCTGCCCCTTCCCTCTAGCCTGGCCTGGCCAACTCCTATTAAGATGTCATTCCCACTGTGAAGTTTGCTGTTGCTCCTAATCTGCATGGAGTGCCCTTTCTCTTGTTCCAGGAAGCACCTGTACTTCTCTGATCATGGCACGTAACATGCTGGACTGTAACTGCTTTGTTATCTGTCCATGCACACTACTTTAGACTCCAGGATGATAGGAACTGTGTCTTATTTACCATTTTATTTAAAATGCCAAAGTACCTAGCACACATCACATTCACAATGATTTATTTTTATTTTCATTTTTTAGAGATGGAGTCTTGCTAGGTTGGCCAGCTGGTCTCAAACTCCTGGCGTCAAGGGATCCACCTGCATCAGCCTCCCAAAATGCTAGGATTACAGGCATGAACCACTGCACCCGGCCCTGGATAATTTTTTAATTAGTACATGGGTATATGCATAAATGAGTAAATGAGTAGACAGAAAATGTTTCCTATATTTTTCCCTGCAATTAGTGTGCTGCATGGAAAAGAGGATCTCTATAAAGATCATACCCTTCCTTCCTTTATCAAGTAATTGGACAAATATTCATTTTAAAGGAAATAAAAATAAAACCCTCAAAAAATAACCAAAAGGAACCCCTTTTAAATAGACTTATTCATTGAGGCAAACCAATGATATAAGAGAAGTTTCTTTTCATTTTACCCTTGTCTCACTTCCACATCCTCTCCTGATGGTAGCATCACCCTTCCCTTCCCCCAATACCTGAAGTGTTCGACTGACTTTAGTTGCTCTGAGCCCTCCACTCTAGTGGCCCCAGGGCTTGTACTCTCTGGGAAACTCCTCGGTCCTGGGCCATCTTTATTCTTGCCTCAATCAAACCAAATTTCTTCCTACCCTCCTTGTAAATATAACCCTGTCTGATGTCTTCATGGCTCCTAGTGGCTTAAGAAATTATTTTAGCATTTTAGAAGTTAAAATGCCTCAATTCAATTGAAAGGCAGAGAATAATAAGTACTTGAGTAACTGTGACCAGTTACTGAGCTTTAAGACACCCTTCAAATCATATTGCCCAGGCAAACTCTTTTCTCTACGTTCATGTGAGGGCCTAGCCTGAGTTTTGAGGAAAAAACAACCAACAAACAAACAACAAAACAAAATAAGAAAAAATAGACAACACTGAAATATTTTGAATTATACACATGAAATGCAACATTTGGTCAAGATGAGGATAATCTAAATCAAAATATTAAAGTGACATTAACTTGCTTCCTATTCATATTCATTAATGAAATACAGCAGCCAAGTTTTTTTAAAGACAAGAGAAGAAAAGTGAAAGTTTCAGAGGGGTGGCTTTGGAAGTTGCCAGAAAGTGCCAGGTGACAAGTGTTCAGGGGATCAGACAACAAGATGGAATGATGGTCAAGGAAAAGGAAAAGAAGGCTCAAAAAATGGCAATCAAGAGAAGATAAAGGCAGAGTGGAAAATAAATCTGAATCTATTACTAAAGGAAAGCAGAAGCTAATGAAAGTAGTAAAAATAAAAGATGGACCAAGTGTGCATAATGCAGAAATGTCCATCTGGCAGGTACGTTGCACATAGGCCAGAGGAGAAACCAACATGAGAAACACATCAGGGCAAAGAAAAGGCCAATGGGTGGGAATGGAGAAAAGGGATTCAACAGAACAAAGATTTGGCCTTAGGCTTAGTGTGGGAGTTGTGAAGAGTTAAAAATATTTTTTTCAAATTGATAAATTCAAATATTGACAAACAATGTAGAAATATGGTTTTGTTTGGAGATAAATATGAGGTGAAGATGGAAAGAAAGATTGAGGAATAGAAGTCTGTTCTCTTTTATTACTGAAAATCTCATTTGCCTAAGTAGTCTACTTGCTTTCTGTATTTCTCTCTTCCCCTTTTCCCTTTTTAATCTTAATCTAACTTGGCCTCGCTGGGACTTAAACTGGTGAATGGTTCTTCTTTCCTGAAAAACTTTCCTCCCTTGATTCCTCGCACTCTTCTCTCCTGGTTGCCCTCCTACTCTTAGCTCCTCCTCCATCTGTCTCTAGCCCTCTCCTCTTAACACTACAAACCCATCCTTGGCCATCTCATAACCTTGCATCTCGTAAACCCCTAAGCATCCCTGAGGACTCTCATGACCAGACTTCCCTGATAAGCTCCGAATCCATATTTGTTATTCTAGACAATTTCACCACGATGAACTCCTGGCACTTCAGATTCAGTGTTCATACTAGTACTTATTATCTCACTGCCCCACTTCCTCTTCCTGATGATCCCATGCCGGGTTCCTCTACCATGATTTTGGTGTGTCTAGGGAAGATAAGCCAACTCATCCCATAAAAAAGAGGCTCTCCCAACATGCTTTCTTTAGGCTGGTACAACACCCCCAACACATCACCTTAACATTATTATTAGTTTGGAATTATAGATTAGCCAGTTTATTTGGCCCTAAGTAAGTATTGGTTCTCTCCAATTGGAGGGAGAAGAAAGCAGGGTAAGAATATGGTAAAGCAGTGTTCAAGGAAGATCACTGTGGAAGTAAATGGAAGGGATTTGGCCTGAATCTGAAAATTCTGTCTGGGACTCTTTAGGGGTGAAGGGAGTAGTAGTGGGAATAGAGATGAGAAACGTTTGTACTTTGAGAGAAACATTGTTGGAAGCCTGTTCCATTCAGATGGAATGGAAGGTAGGTTTAATTGCTGCCATTGGGCTTTTTTACCTGATTTTTAACAGGAGGAATCCAGGAGGAATAAAGTGATTAGCCTGTGATAAGAGGGGACAAAAGGCAATGATTACCTAGTCCTGGGGGACCCAGGGCTCCCGTTCATACTAAAGGGCTTGGTCTATCCTGAACAGGTTAACATCAACACCACTAGGACTATATTTAGGGAGGAGAGCCATTTTTCTCCGTCTTCTCACTTCCCCCACATAGAAAAGATTCACAAGAATTGTCTCTAAGAACTTCTCAATGCAGGAGTATTAGACTAGACAAGCCACAAAGGAACAGGAAATAGCTTCCTAATTTTTTTTCACATTTCTGATTCTCTACTGTTGCCCTTTATTTGGTGATAGTTTAGGAGAACTGAAAAGTACAGAAACAGATTAGATGAAAATCCATATTTAATCCTCCAGTTGTCAAATTTCCATGAATCTATGTTAATTAAATAACTTGAATCAGGCCCTCATTTACACATTTACTCCTTAATTATTGTGATTATCTTGACTTTAAAATTCTGCATCAACTGGAAATGAGTCCCATAAAACAAAAAATATTATGACATATCCATGTTGACATAAGAGGAAAATATGAACATTTCAAAGGATTTTTTTCTCTTTTACTATGTATACATGTAGGAGTTGAGTATGAAGCAACTATTCAAACATTTGAGAACTCAAATATCTTGATAACCAAAGGAAGCATTTAAAATTTAAATTATTCATGTCCTTTAATTTTCTATCTGGTGTGTGTAGATACCATTTTAAAATGACTTACGTATCATTTAAAAAAACTTTCCTTAAAATAGAAATAAATAGCATAGTGAAAAAACTTAGCAAGAGAGTAAAAGGCTTTTACTCATACAGATAAACATTTTCAGTGGTATCTGATTTCACATCTTTTGCTTCCATTACAGCTGAGCAGAGCCCCATAAATGAGAAGCCACGAAGACTGAGGTTACACAGTGATCCACAGTTGCCACAAAACTGAGCAGTGAGTGAAACCCTGGTGTCACACATGCTATTTACCATGATGGGCTGAACTCCTGGTCCACTGAGCAGCATATTTAGTTATACATACCCATACTGTAGGTAGCCCTATATTTTGAAATGACAGTCTTGATTTAAATTTTGCTTTCTGAAAATGTACTTCAAAGATAGAGAATTATTAGACCAGGGCAGAGAAGATAGAAGTATAGTCCAGGAAGAATACTTTTGCTATTCATGTATTTAGATATCAGTGTTTTTTTAAAAAGGGACACACAAATAATATTATAGAGATTTAAGGTGTCAGTAGTGAGAACATAAGAACTATTTGGGACTGAGAAGTATATAATACTAAGGGATTGTGTGAATAATACTTAGATTCACTTATAAGGCAATACGTTTTTTTAACAAAACAAGAAGGTGGGAATGCTGCAAACGTCTCAATGTTGGGCATTCTTATAACTCTTGGGTATGTTGCCCAATAGTATTACAATCATAAAGCTCATTGAGTCAAGGTAATGAAATTCAGGGAACATTGAATATATGCAATGTTTGTTTACAAAATCATCATGTGGTAGAATAACAATAAAACACAAACACGTAGGTATTCTAAAAATGAAATACCATTAGTAACTCCAAAGTTAGTAAAGGGTGTGGGCTTACCATGAAAGCCATATAATTATATTTCTCAGTTTCACATCAAAAAGCAAATATTGGAGCAATAATGACACTCCTTAGAAATTACTTGAATGAATGCTTCTGGAATCCTGAACTTCTTATAGTTTCCCGAGCTCAAATGCTGTTTCATACCTTTTTCTCATGCTTTTCTTCCCTGTGCCTTGAACACCTTTGCTTCTGTTTTTTACCTAATTCCTTCTTGTCCATCTAGACTGAGTTCTAACCATTTTGTTTTTGGAAAGTCTTGACTGACTTCACAGGCTGGGTTAGGGATGCCTCTCCATCCAAAAGCATTCCAAGCATATTTCCAATAACCATGATAGTTCAAAGGATTTGCCCCACTGTAAGTGATGTGAGGGCAAAGAATGTGTATACCTTTTTATCTTTTATTTCCCTGCTTTGGAACAGTGTTTGTCACTTAGTGGGTATCCAAGGAATGACTGTTGAACTAAACCAAACTGCAGTAGCAAACATTCCAGAACTGTGAGGAAAAGGGAGATTGCCAACATACCACAGAGTTGATTTCATGCTATGATTAAATTGGAGTGCCTTGTCCATGAACTTACTCCATGTGTCCTGCCTCTACCCTCTAATTTATGCTCCTTCCTCCTCACTGCATATTTCTTCCCAATGTCACCTGCTAACATCCTACTTATCTGCTTCCAGATCTCCATCAAATTTCTTGTTCTCCATGAATGTATTTTCCAACTGGATATTACTCCTCTGCCCTTAACCCACAGATTTTTGTTGTTGTTGTTGTTCCTTCCTATGACATTTACCTTATTCAGCTTTGGGGTCTTATTTATGTGCTTATCTCGTCTCTATCTTTGTGCTTTTGCACTGGTTATCACTAAGCTTTATGTATATTAGATACTCCATAAGTAGCTCATAAAGGTCCCCAAACTTTTTGGCACTAGAGACTGGTTTTGTAGAAGACAATTTTTCCACAGATGGGGGCGGGGAGAAGAGACAGTTTTGGAATGATTAAAGCGCATTACATTTATTGGCACTTTATTTCTATTATTATTACATTGTAATATATAATGTATATACATGTATATATTATTACGTGTAATATATACAGTGACAGATCATCAGATATTAGATTCTCATAGGGAGTGTGCAATCTAGATCCCTCGCATGCACAGTTAACAACAGAGTTCACGTTCCTATGATAATCTAATGTTGCCGCTGATCTGAGAGGAGGTGGAGCTCAGGTTCACTCACTTGCCCACCACTCACCTCCTGCTGTGTGGCCTGGTCCCCAAGAGCCCATGGACCAGTACCATCTGTGGCCTGGGGGTTGGAGACCCCTGAGCTATATGAACAGATTATAAAAATATATCCCATGTCACAATATTTAAATACAGTTACGTACTGCTTAACAATGAGGATACAATCTAAGAAATGCATTGATAGGCAACTTCATCATTGAACATCATATAGAGTGGACCTACACAAACCTAGGTGGTAGAGCCTACTACATACCTATATAGTATAGTGTATTGCTCCTAGGCTACAAACCTGCACAGCAAGTTACTGTATTGGAATACTGTAGGTCATTGTAACACACTGGTAATTGTGTGTCTAAACATAACTATATATAGAAAAGGAGTAAAAATATCATATGAAAGATAATGGTGCACCTTTATAGGGCACTTACCATGAATAGGGCTTGCAGGACTAGAAGTTGCACTGGTGAGCCAGTGAGTGAGTGGTGAATGAATGTGATGGCCTAGGATGTTACTGTACACTACTGTAGAACTTATAAACACTCCACACTTAGGCTACACTAAATTTATAAAAACTATTTTTTCTTCAATAATAAATTAACCTTAGCTTACTGTAGTTCTTTACCTTTATAAATGTTGACATTTTTAAACTTTTGACTCTTGTAATAACATTTAGCTTAAAACACAAATACATTGTATAGCTGTGCAAAAAATTCTTTCTCCATATCCTTATTCTATAAGCTTTTTTCCTATTTTAAAAACATTTTATTTTTTACTTCTGAAATTTTTTTTGTTAAAAACTAAGACTGAAACACACACATTATCTGAAGCCAACACAGGGTCAGAGTCATCAATATCACTGTCTTCCACTTCTACATCTTATCCCACTGGAAGTTCTTCTGGGGCAATAACACACATGGGGCTGTCATCTCTCATGACAATTCTGCCTTCTACAGTATCTCCTGAAGGATCCACCTAAGGCTGTTTTACAGTTAACATTTTTTTTTTAATAAGTAGGAGTACACTATAACAATGAAAGTAGAGTGAAGGAAATATATAAACCAGTAACATAGTCATTTGTTAATATTGTCAAGCATTATTTACTATACATAATTTTATGTGCTATACTGCACTTTTATATGACTGGCAGCACACATTTGTTTATACCAGCATCAACACAAACATGTGAGTAAGGTGTTGCACTACCACTTTATGACAGCTATGATATCACTAGGCAATAGGAATTTTTCAGCTCCATTATAATCTTATGGATTATATAAACAGCATATATAAATGTATATGCTGTTAATTGTTTACTGAAACATCATTATGTGGCAAATGACTATATAGAGACAATTAACTAAACAAATCCTGTGAATCCTGATTCAGATTCCATTCACTAAGAATCTGTGATAACACTTGATCTGGTTCTTTTATACATTCCATGTACATGGTGAGCCAATTTAAGAGGATAAAGTGCACTACAGGTCTTAGACCTATTTTATTATGGGACTGAAAACTATTAATATTAACCTATTTTAACCATCACAGCAGACCTGGAAACATATATGCATTAGTATGACCTAGAGTTTAGACTCCTCAGTAACCACTGATTCATTTTTGTGATGTTTTACATGTCCCTTCAAATTTGATTGTTTCTCTAATTTTGTAATAGAAACATTCAAGCCAGGTTGTCAGAATTCTTATCATTCATTTTCTCTCTTCCGAGAGTATTAAGTGTTGCATTTCAGTTTCATCAAAAGAAGATGCTAGTCCTCCACAGACTACGAGGTGTGACCCTAAGAGTCCCTCTTTGTGGTCTCAGGGGTAGAGCCTGCCAGGATTTCAGAAGGAGCTGGAGGTTAGAGTAACCAGGAGCAGGAAGTGGCCAACTTTCATCCTTCTCTAGGAGTTGCCACTTGACAAGTCATTCCTATTTGATCCACAAAACTTTATAGACTCGAAGTAAATGATGTGTATTTCTACAGTGGCCTTGCAGATGGCTACAAGTTCCACCAAACCATGCCTGTGAAGATTACTTCTGTAAAATCAGACATGGCCAATATATGCACCCAGACCCTCCTTCAGCTGTCCAAGGTCAAGAGGTCCTCAGCCAAGATAATTACAAGATATGCTCTCCTGAGTCTGAGTCCTCACAGGAACCTGCTCCAAGAGGCAAGAATGAGGCGATGTTTTGTGAGGAGGTTCCTGAAAATCAAGGAGTAAGACCCAGAGGACAGGGGCAGTCTCTGCTCATTCTCCAGCCATGAGTCCACTCTGTCACAAACAGGCCTGAACTGATTTCCTCTGCTGCCTGAGCTTTCAAGATTTCAAGATCATGGAAAACCTAAGTAGTCTCTGGGAATGAGGCATCTATGTCCTTATTCTTTGATAAGTTCCTCCTGTTATTGGAGGAACAAATACAGAGGTCTCTGTCTTTATCTCCTTCCCCAAAGAACCTTGTCTTTTCTTTGGTGAAATCTATTTTCTCTCTCAGTAAGAATCTATGTAAGGTTTAGGAAGTTAAGATGTTTGTGGCTTGTTAGATACTGCATCAAGGCCCATTTTTTTCTCACCCACGCCTTTGCCCGTCTAGTTCCAGGCAAAACAGTGAAGTGCATAATTTTCCTCTATGATCTTACTTCTTCACTGTCATTTAGTAGTCTCCCTCCCTTTATCTCTCAGGGCACCCCTTGGCTACACAGGTCTACTTGTAATAAAATATTTCAGAGTTGAAAGGAACCTTAAAAATCACCGATTATAACCACTAAACAGCTTCTCCTGAAATCCTAGTCCAACTTGCCCATACTGAAAGCTAACTGTTTTATCTAATCAGATAAAAGAATCCATGCCAATAGCCTGTAAGAGAAGATTAAAGGAGATTCTTGGGCCTTTCTCTCCTCTCCCAGGCAACCAACATATATTTTAATTGCGATTCACTGGAGATAATGTTTCATTCAATATTTCAGGTAAGGAGAAAAGAAAAGAAGAGGAGAGAGGATGGTATAATGAAAGGATCAAGGAGTGCTGTTATTTTTTAAGCAAGTGAGACCATTTGTTTATTCTACACATAGGCTTTGACTCCATTTATTATTTTGAACAATCAAGAAAAACAGTTTTCTTGATGGTGGCAGAAGAGTGATATAGAAAAAGCTTTCTTGATGGTGGCAAAAGAGTGATGTAGAAAAAGAGCAAGGATTTAAGAAGCAAGAATGTTGTTTTCAAAATTGAAACCTAACCTAGAAAATCACATTTGTGACCAATGATCAGAATGTCACTATATATTTCTTTGCAAAGATACTCTCTTGCATAATTAGCTCTTAACAATCATAAAAGCAGGCATCTTTGAATTTATTTTTATATATGATGGTATATGAAAATAAGTTATGCTTTATTCGACCATATGCCAGATACTCCTCATTTCTAAATTGCAAATTATTTTTTGGTAAAAATCATATATATTAAAGCTACATTTTTATTGTATATATTTAAGATATACAATATGATGCTGTGATATACATTGTGATTACTATGTTAAGCAAATTAACATATCCATCAACTTGCACAGTTACCCTTTTGTATGTGTGGCAAGAGCATCTAAATTCTACTTTCTTAGCAAAAAATCCCAAATACAATACAATATTAACTGTAGTCCTCATGCTGTACTTAGATCTAGACTTGTTCATCCTACATAATTACAACTTTTTATCCTTGGACCTACATCTCCACATTGCCTCCCCAACTACCTCTTCCAAAAAATTACATTTTTGTCCAAACAATGCTTTACCTTTTTGTTGTTGCTGTTGCTTTTAACTTTCGAAAGTTAATTTCACATTTCATTTTTACCATGTTACAATCCTGTGAGATGGATGGTACTACTAATAAAGAAACAGCTAAAGAGGCACAATGAGACTTATCCAAGTTGCATAGTTAGTCAGGGACTAACTAGTTATCTGTGGTGCCATATCTGAGCACATGTCTCCTGGGTCCCATATCTGGGCTCCCTTTAGCCCAAAAGTATACCTCACGTAGACTATATACCTTTTTGTCAGCTCTCATTTCAGTCCTGATGATGGTCTTTGCAGAACAGAAACTAATTGCAAAGGAATCTGTTACCTGTTCTCATCAGTGTGCCACATATTCTTCCCCTACAGGAAACAGAAGCCACAAGTGCAACTGTGATGTTAATCACTTGACAAACGTTTTCCAAGTGACATGAATATATTAAACTCCACTTACAAACAGTGTTTTAAGTATTCCTATGATGTACAAATATGCTAAATCTATCGAAGGCTGTTCTGGTGATCCAGAAGGTGTTATAAAAGGAACAAAGGAAATGATATTTTCTCTTTTAGGAAGCATTAAAGATGTCTTCTTTAATAATTATTACAATAAAGATTCTCTAACTAACAACATATGCTAGGTAATAATTTTTGTCTTGTAGAAATATGAATGTTTTCTAATGGAAGACATTTAACATGCCTTAGTTAAAGATTAATTCAAAGAAAAGCCCTCTTTGGGATTCATCGCAACATCTATAAGGTGGCATTATTTTTCCAATATTCTTTTACTCTATCCTCTGCATTTGAAAGAGCGTATGTCCAACCTATAATTATTTTCTGCTAATTAGAGTAATTCATGGTTAATTATTCAAAATGATTTCTCTTCAAAATCAACTCCATTTCTTTTTCTTTTCTTTTCTCTTTCTTTTTCTTTTCTTTTTTTTTTTTTTTTTTTTTTTTTTTTTGAGAAAGAGTCTCGCTCTGTCACCCAGGCTAGAGTGCAGTGGCACAATCTCGGCTCACTACAACCTCCACCTCTGGGGTTGAAGTGATTATTCTCCTGCTTCAGCCTCCTGAGTAGCTGGGATTACAGCCGCCCACCACCATGCCCAGCTAATTTTTATATTTTTAATAAAGACTGGTTTCGCCATGTCAGCCAGGCTGGTCTCGAACTCCTGACCTCAGGTGATCAGCCCATCTCGGCCTCCCAAAGTGCTGGGATTACAGGTGTGAGCCATTGTCCCTTGCCCATCAACTGCATTTCTTGCCATGACATTAAAAAAAGATACAAATAAAATATTATCAGAATGAAAATTTCTATCAGAGGAGAATATACTTTTTACTTTCTTTAAATAGCACTAAAATCTTTCTTCACTAGGAACGGTCCTATGAATTCCTACTTCAATTCATTTGGACTAGAGAAGGGCAAACTGAATCATGAGGTGATGACTATAAATGTTTTTGATAATTAAGGATTCGTTGTATATATAGGAGTAAGTAATTTTACTATTAATATATTCTTAAAGAAGAGTTATAAAGCAGTAAGACTTAACAATGGCTAAGGGCTAACAGTAAACACAGTAGCTTGGGACCCTGGATGTCTGAAGATGTACTCTGAGTAGACAGTGTCTCTTTGTAGGCTCTCATTTGGGTTCTGCTGATGGCTGAATCTCCCTTTTTGTCCTAATCTTGATCCCTCTTTTCAAAAAGCAGCTTCTTTCTTCTTTTATCTGCCTAGGAAAGTCCTGAGCCTTCATCTGTCTCTAAATTAAGAACATGTTTGCCTGCATCCTGCCACTTTCCCCATTCTGACCTCACTTATCTCTCCACTTTGTTCTATTCTGATTGTCATAAGAGACCAAACTGTCCCTCCTAAGAGGCTGAGGTGCTCCTGTGCCTAAATTTGTCTTAAGTAATAGCCTCAATATGAATCTGCTCTGCATAGCCAAATTTTCTACATACGTTTATTGAGTACCTTCAGTGTGCAAGACCTTAAGTTATATAATCTCCTAAAATGAAGTAAGTTGAAATGCCAACTGTGTGTGACACAAGGAGTTCCATTACATTAAAATGAACAGAGGAGAATAAAGTTATCGAAGCATAAATTTAAGAGTAAAAAAAGAATTATTAAATTAGAAATGACATCTACTTCTAGATTGAGAAGACAAAGGAGAAGATTATAACTCTTGGAAATATTGAAATTATTGCTAAAATAAACTACTTCTGGTTTGACCAGGACTTTTCAACTTAGTTTATTTGCTTTTCCCCCTGTTATGGACTAAATGTTTGTGTCACTGCAAAATTCATATGCTGAAGTCCTAACGCCAACGTAATGGTTAGGAGGTGGGGCCTTTTGGAATTAATTATTCATAAAGTTGGAGCCCTCATGAAGGGGATTAGTGCCCTAATAAGAAGAAAGATGAGTTTGCTGTCTCTGCTCTGCTTTCTACTATATAAGGATACAAAGAGATGCCAGCCATCTGCAATCCAGGAAGTTGGCTCTTAGCAGGCACTTGATCTGCTGACACCTTGATCTTGGACTTGCCAGCCTCCTGAGCTGTGAGAATAGCTGTTTATTGTTTAAGCCACCCAACTATGGTAATTTGTTGTAGCTGCCTGAACTAACTAAGACATTCTCCCAGTGGGAATACAGCTCAACATTTCTAACAAAAATTGGTTTTAAAATCCCTTCCTTACACCTTATACAAAACTTAACTCAAGATGGATTAAAGACTTAAATGTAAGACCTAAAACCATAAAAACCCTAGAAGAAATCCTAGGCAATACCATTCAGGACATAGGCAGGGCAAAGACTTCATGACTAAAACACCAAAAGCAATGGCAACAAAAGCCAAAACTGACAAATGGGATCTAATTAAACTAAAGAGCTTCTGCACAGCAAAAGAAACTATCATCAGAGTGAACAGGCAACCTACAGAATGGGAGAAAAGTTTTGCCATCTACCCATCTGACAAAGGGCTAATATCCAGAATCTACAAAGAACTTAAACAAATTTACAAGAACAAAACAAAACAGCCCCATCAAAAAGTGGGTAAAGGATATGAACAGACACTTCTCAAAAGAAGACATTTATGCAGCCAACAGACATATGAAAAAATGCTCATCATCACTGGTCATCAGAGAAATGCAAATCAAAACCACAATGAGATACCATCTCATGCCAGTTAGAATGGCTATCACTAAAAAGTCAGGAAACAACAGGTGCTGGAGAGGATGTGGAGGAATAGGAACACTTTTACACTGTTGGTGGGAGTGTAAATTAGTTCAACCATTGTGGAAGACAGTGTGGTGATTCCTCAAGGATCTGAAACTAGAAATACCATTTGACCCAGCAATCCCATAAACTGAGTATATACCCATAGGATTATAAATCATGCTGCTATAAAGACATATGCACAAATATGTTTATTGTGGGACTATTCACAATATCAAAGACTTGGAACCAACCCAAATGTCCATCAATGATAGAGTGGATTAAGAAAATACGGAACATAATATCCAGAATCTACAATGAACTCAAACAAATTTACAAGAAAAAAACAAACAACCCCATCAAAAAGTGGGCAAAGGACATGAACAGACACTTCTCAAAAGAAGACATTTATGCAGCCAAAAAACACATGAAAAAATGCTCACCATCACTGGCCATCAGAGAAATGCAAATCAAAACCACAATGAGATACCATCTCACGCCAGTTAGAATGGCAATCATTAAAAAGTCAGGAAACAACAGGTGCTGGAGAGGAGGTGGAGGAATAGGAACACTTTTACATTGTTGGTGGGACTGTAAACTAGTTCAACCCTTGTGGAAGTCAGTGTGGCGATTCCTCAGGGATCCAGAACTAGAAATACCATTTGACCCAGCCATCCCATTACTGGGTATATACCCAAAGGACTATAAATCATGCTGCTATAAAGACACATGCACACGTATGTTTATTGCTGCACTATTCACAATAGCAAAGATTTGGAACCAACCCAAATGTCCAACAATGATAGACTGGATCAAGAAAATGTGGCACATATACACCATGGAATATTATGCAGCCATAAAAAATGATGAGTTCATGTCCTTTGTAGGGACATGGATGAAATTGGAAATCATCATTCTCAGTAAACTATCGCAAGAACAAAAAACCAAACACCGCATATTCTCACTCATAGGTGGGAATTGAACAATGAGAACACATGGACACAGGAAGGGGAATATCACACTCTGGGGACTGTTGTGGGGTGGGGGAAGTGGGGAGGGATAGCTTTAGGAGATATACTTAATGCTAAATGACGAGTTAATGGGTGCAGCACACCAGCATGGCACATGTATACATATGTAACTAACCTGCACATTGTGCACATGTACCCTAAAACTTAAAGGATAATAATAATAAAATAAAATAAAAAAGAAAATGTACAGTCAGGAAAATTAAAAAAAAAAGAAAATATGGCGCAAATACACCATGGGATACTACGCAGCCATAAAAAAGATGAGTTCATGTCCTTTGCAGGGACATGGATGAAGCTGGAAACCATCATTCTCTGCAAACTGTCACAAGGACAGAAAACCAAACACTGCATGTTCTCACTCATAGGTGGGAGTTGAACAATGAGAACACATGGACACAGGGCGGGGAACATCACACACTGTGACCTGTCTCGGGGGTTGAGGGCTGGGAGAGGGATAACATTAGGAGAAATGCCTACTGTAAGTGATGGGTGCAGCAAACCAACATGGCACATGTATACCTGTGTAACAAACCTGCATGTTGTGCACATGTACCCTAGAACTTAATGTATAATAATAAAAAAAAATTTTAAGTTTTTCAACATTTAGATTTTCACAGTAACTGTGAGAGAAACTAGAAGAAAAAAAGGATCTAGTTAAATGTGTCTTAGTCCATCCATGAAATAAACCTTTATTCTTTTCTGATTTGAGGAATATGTAAATTCTACTGGCTATTTTTGAGACTTTGACATCAGGATTTCATTTCAATGCTATCATCTCTTGCTTTTTTGGTAACTTAGAGTACTTTGAATTAAGTTTTATTAGAATAATACATACACATAGCTTTAAAAGCCTAAATAATACATAATGGAAAATATGTCATTTTCTCACCCTTCCCCACACCTCAACGGCAACAAGTATGCAGAAAGATCTGTTTCTTCTGATATTTACCTCCATTTTTCTAAATAGTCTTCTAATATTTCTGTCTCTTGACTCATCAATTTTAGATATTGATTATTTGCCATAGTGTAGCCACTTACAACCATGAGGGGAAGACACCTCAGTATTACCAAGGACTCAGGCTTCCTCCCACCTCCTGTTCCTCCATTCTTAGTGTATGGGTCTTAGCTCCATGGTCATGATTAGCTGCTTTTCCAGAAGCTCTGCTCAGCAGGTTCTACCCACATCTCACTGGCCAGAACTAAGTCACATGACCACATCTAGACACAATGGAGTTTGGAAAAATCAGCAATTCAGGTTTCCAGTCCCTACGCCAAAGAACTCAAAGGAAAAGAGGATTGTGAATGGCTTTTAGGTATCAGTCCACTGTCTGCCACAGTAACCATCCATGAGTTTTTCAAATGCTCTCAGTAGATCCATTAAAAGCCTATCATATTTTCTGAGTGTTTCAGTACATCAACAAATATATCAGAATGCTTTTCAACATGTTCTGTGTCATGGCACAGATTGAAAATAATATTTTTATGGTTCTTTGTGAGAAATGGGAGGAGAGTATTAAAGGCTTGAGGCCACTGGCCTGGGACTCTGACCATTCCAGGCCCCACCCAGCCACTCCAAGGATGAGAGAACCAGTTTCCCCACATTTATAACCCATTCACAGCTCTGGTCTTTTGGGACTTGGAGATTTCCTGTAACCTTTAATCCAGACTGTCTAGACCTACAGCACAGTCATCATGCTGGGACTTTTCTTTGCTTCCCTCCTGTGTTAGATTTCCTGCTTTCTGAATCTAACTCTTTCTTGGTTTGCTCCATTATTTTGCCAATGCAATATTCTAGTACTTTCTTTTAAAACCTGTTCATAAGAGGTAAATATTTTGAATCCTTGTATGTGTGAAAATGTCTCTATCATGCTGTCTGAATTTTGAAAGCAAGTCTTTGGTTTTCAGTGTTGCTTTTGAGGTGAGCAATGGTATTCTGATTCCCAGTGCTCTCTATTTAGCCTGCTTCTTCTTCTCTTGTGGATTTTAAGATCTTCTCTTTATCCCCAGAGAGTTATAATGTTCGTGATGATGTACATTGGTATGGGTCTCTTTTCATGTATTGTACAAAGAACTTGGTAAATCCTTTTAATATGGAACTGGTCCATATTGAATTTTTTTTTTTTTTTTGGTATTAGATGTTTGGTAATCTTCTTTCTGACAATATTTTCTGTTCTCTTTTTTTTTGAAGGAGGGACTCCTATTATTTGGGCGTTAGGAAGACATCTCGAATTGTTATCGTTTCCTGTATTTTCTACATTTTTTCTTTTTGCCTTATTTTCTAGCAGAATTTCTCAACATTATCTTTCAAACTGCTATAGAATATTTTAATTTCTTGTTTTCTTATAGGTCATTTTTTATTAGTGCCTTGTTCTTGTTATAAGAATCCAATAGCTATTCTTAATTCTCTGAGAATATTTATTGTAGATTTTCTTCAGTTTTCTTCTGCCATCTAATGCAGGTGTGTCTTCAGATCAGATCATTAGATCTCTAGATCATTAGTGATACTGTATCTCTAATTCCTATGGGTTCTTTTTTTTCTATTTCTCTCTTTTGATTTCTTTTATTCATGTTAGAGATTTGCCTCAAGCATTTAGGCTATCTAGGTAATTCTAGGCTATCATATTTAAATCCAAATCCCTAAAGAACTCTTTGGAAGATATGTGTTCGTGGGTAAGCATGAAGGAGGTGGGGCTGTCAATTGAGGGGTTTCACTGGAGCTGGAATTTTTGTTTGAGGACTTCCAAATTTTAGTATTTGAGGCTCTTGTCTCTAGGGCTGTTTGGTTTCTCCAGAAAAGAATCTCCCACTTGGAAGGTAAATTACTGGCAGGTAACCATTCTAAGGACAAGGGGGCAGATATTCATTTCTTCTCGTGTTTTCAGTTCCATTAATCACCCTCAACCTAGAGTGTTCCTAATGGAATTAGTTTTAGAAATAAGTCTTCTATATCCTATGGAGGAGGAAATTGTGGACTCAGAAACTTCCAACTTTCTACTATTCTGCCTTCCAAGATAACCAGTGCTTCTGAATCTGGAGTCTTTCTGGAATTCTGTTGGGCGAATCCCCCTACTTTGTAAGATTCTCTTTTCCAGATACTTAGGTTATAACCTCCACTCTTGCACTTGTTTTATGTTTTTCAAATTCCTGATATCTCTCAACATTGTTGTCTTCTCTGCCATTCATTTTGTCTTCATGGGTTTATACTTTCAAAAAATACCATTTCTGTTATTTTTGTGAGGTCTCAGAAGATTCTTCCATATCTAACAGTCTGCCATATTTAACAAACAGTTCTCAATGAACTTTAAAGATTATTTAAATAAAGGCAAAGGTATGTATGGGCTCCTTAGTTTCTTTTAAAGCCATGTAAACCTACTGAGCTCAGTGAAACATTTAGGAAGCATGGACAGAGCTAGGTACTGTGCCACTCATACACATCAGATCTTCCTCACGTCCTTCCCAATATTTTCACTGTTACATGCAACATAAAATATTACTGTTTTACTCTTTCTGGGATTAGTTTAGATTAGTTTCAATTGTTGTAGCCTCCAAATAGATATTGATGCCATGAAGCCACAGGTGTTCAGAAGATAGGGATAATGAGATAGAAGATGGGCCAATGAAAAACCTTGACAGTTTCCCTCTAGAAATAAAGCTAGGAAAGAACACATATGTTTACCCAATAGAAAGTTTTCCCATGAAAAATTCTGAAATTTTTCCGTTCAGGATGTTGTAGTAACTGAAGCTATGAGGAAAGACTGCATAATTTTTATTTCTTTAAAAGGGGGAACTGTAAAAAGGTCATAACATTAATCAGTGTTCTATGTGTCTCAACAGGGCATCAAGGTACATCTTGGTGTTGAATGAAGTTGTTCCATATGGGCTCATTTCTCAGGTAAATATCAGAATAAGTTTATGTGGGCAGTAAACTGATATGTACCCAAACACCTGTCACCATTAATACATAATAACCTTTTTGTGTTTGAAGAAGATATTCGATATCTTCCATATTTGGGAGATAGTCTGAAATACTGCACCCTGTTTATTAGAAGGGTAGTTTCTTTCAAACGTGAATCAAACAGTTAAAAAAACACATTTACATTACTTTGCTTTCTGTAGTTCACTAAGTACATAAAGAAGTAAGTTCACTAGGTACATAAGAAAGCCTGAAGGTAATAATGGAAAATTTCTTTATCTAGCTATCTGGAAAATTGCTTTCTTATGTAACTATGAAAATTGTTGCTGATCTTTGGTTTGTATTTTTGGTTTAAATATTGAAGATATTAAGATTCTAATCATTACGTATCTGGATGGATGTTCAAAGAGCTAAGTAATGTTTATCATGACATTATTTAGACAAAATATTAGAGACTGAGTAAATGTCCAGTTATAGATAATTCAAATAATATATTTTGGGACATCCATTCCATGAAATAATTTGTGGACATTTAACATGATAATGTAGAACATCAGCTTTCTGATGGGATGTGTTAACACTTGTGTATCTGGTTAGAGATATAACTAACATGTTGGGAACTGTGTATAACTGGAAGCCTATCGTATCTGTACTACAACCCGATTGTCCAAATCTGAGCACACCCTTTGAATTTTTTATATGTTGCTTTGGGGAAGAAAATAGAGAACTCTTATGAAAATAATGTTTAATGATATGGCAAGTAATACAGAATAACTAAAGACAGAAGAAAATGAGCTGGATTGCCAACTCATGGCAGCTACACAGAATTGTAGGCATTCATTTAAGAAGGTACATTAGGTATCAGACAAATGGTCAAAGAAGCTTACCACTAGTACAAATATTAAAGAGCATAAATTGTTTGAAAGCAGAGAATTGTCTAACTTGCAGAGCAGTTATTTTTCCATATATACCTTTGTGAGGCTATATTTTCTGAAGTGTTATTTCAGTTGTTGGCCTTGGAATTTGTTTCCGTTTTCTTCCTTTGTTACTTTAAAGGAATTAAGGTCAGCTGATGTATTTTTACTCTCCACGTTTGAATTTGAGGCAGAACAATTCCCATGGAGAATTCTTGTGGAACTTCATTTTAGTTATGTTTTAATAAAGTCTTATTTGTATTGACTTCTGGGGCAGCATGGCATTCCCTAACTGATAAACTACTTGGGTTTACTTTTTTTATGGAGGGATTTTAATTTAATATGATAGATTCAACTGTTGTTTTTCAGGTTTTATATGCATGCCTGGAAGCCTTTTAATAACTTGCAATAACAAACAAAATGAATGTGACTTTTAGGGTAGACACTTTTGTAATTGATATTTTTATCAACTCAGGATGTTTATTTGTTTTGCCAAAAAATGAAGCTCATTTTTTTCATCCTTGGGGAATAAAAAGTAATGGAATTATAATTTACTAAAAAGTTGCAAGAAAGATTCCATAGTTGGAATGAAAAAAATTCATACAGATATATTTCTTGCTCTCTAGACATAAGATTCTTGCATAACTCACAAAAAGTACAAGATTTTTTCCCTTATCTTAATAAATTCATTTGCCTTCCTGTATAAAAGTTAGGGATCAAGGAGTAATAGAATATTTTAAAAAATATTAACAGGGAGTAATTAAAGTTTGCATGGACTAAAATACTGCACAGGAAATTATATTGTTTTAATTTTTAAAATTATACATTTTTTAGTACTGAAGAATGGGATTTTGGACACAGAAGTGATTTTGATAAGTGACAGAATTCTGCCGAAGGCCAGAGGCAAAAAGAGGCAAAACAAGGAACATAAAAATAGAGAATCTACAAATTAGCATGTTATAATTACTCTCTTGCATAGCATTTAAGGACATCTTTGAAAAGATTCAATGTCTTCAGCAACTGTATCTAACTAGCATGTACTATAACTCAAATTGACATGATTCCTAAAGAGAAGCATCGGGACAACTCTTCTATAGTGATGAGGCATTACTGAACAATGTTTTTGGTTGATAAACAGTAATAGAAATTTGGGATTAAAATGGCCTTTTCAAAGGAGTAGGTCATTCCTATGAAAATAATAGATACTTAAATTTATCTCTCATTTCTTGTTTGTGTTTGTGCATTAGTCAACTTGACACTTCAAGGATCCTTAATTTTTATGAAGATGGTAGCATGCTGGTAACATTTTTGAAATACCTATTTTTTTGAAAGCCTGTATCTTACCTTTCCCCAAGACTGAATATAAGTTGTCATGATAGTTACAAGGCTGATGAAATACTGAATGAATTGTGGGAGGAGTGGTTGCAGCAGGGGTTGCATGGTGAAGAGGAGGCAAAGGAATATGAGGATTTCAACAAGTTGCTACAGTGAATAGTGCTTTGTCTCAGCCCTCCAGAAACAAAAGTGATAGCTGGTATTTATTAAGTTCTGCTGATAACTTGGAGAAATAAAATTCCTGAGTTTCAGTTTATTTGTAACTTATGGCTCAGTGATTTTATTTCTCCAAGTACTCTCTATATACATAAAGGCTTACCTGTTTTATTGTGCTTTGCTTTATTGTGCTCCACAGATATTGCATTTTTGTTTTTATCTAATGACTTGAAGGTTTGTGGCAACCTTGCATCAAGCAATTTTATTGACACCATTTTTCCAACAGCATGTGCTCATTTCATGTCTCTGTACCACATGTTGGTAATCGGCGATATTCAAAACTTTTTCATTATTATCATAATATGTATTAAAGTGGGCCGGGCGCGGTGGCTCACGCCTGTAATCCCAGCACTTTGGGAGGCCGAGGCGGGTGGATCACGAGGTCAGGAGATCGAGACCATCCTGGCTAACACAGTGAAACCCCGTCTCTACTAAAAAAAAAATACAAAAAATTAGCCGGGCGTGGTGGCGGGCACCTGTAGTCCCAGCTACGCGGGAGGCTGAGGCAGGAGAATGGCGTGAACCCGGGAGGCGGAGCTTGCAGTGAGCCGAGATCGCGCCACTGCACTCCAGCCTGGGCAACAGAGCGAGACTCCGTCTCAAAAAAAAATAAAAATAAAAATAAAAATAAAAAAATAAAAAAAAAATATGTATTAAAGTGATCTATGATCAGTGGTCTTTGGTGTTTGTATTGGGCCATTCTTCCATTGCCATAAAAAAATTCCTCAGACTGGATAATTTATAAAGAAAAGTGGTTTAATTGGCTCATGGTGCTGCAGGCTTTACAGGATGCATGATGCTGGCATCTGCTTGGCTTCTGGTGAAGCCTCATGGAGCTGTCAATCATAGCAGAAGCAAAGGGGAAACAGGCACATCACATGAAAAAGGCAGGAGTGAGGTGAGGGAGAGATGTCATACACTTAAATGACCAGATCTTGTGTGAACTCAGAATGAGAGCTCACTTATCACCAATGGGATGGCCCAAGGAATTCATGAGGGATCCACCCCCATGATCCAAACACCTCCCACCAGCCTCACCTCCAACATTGGGGATTACAATTCGACATGAGATCTGGGTTGGGACAAATATCCAAACTATATCAATGTCACTATTGTAATTGTTTTGCAGGGGCATCAACTGCGCCCACAGAAGATGGTGAACTTATTTGATAAATGTTATGTGTTTTCTGACTGCTCCACCAATCAACTGTTCCCCTGTCTCTCTCCCTCTCCTTGGGCCTCCCTCTTTCCTCAGGCAAAAAAAAAAAAAATTGAAATAGGCCCATTAATAACCTTACAATTGTGCCTAAGTGTACAAGTAAAGGAAGAGCTGCACATCTCTAACTTTAAATCAAAAGCTAGAAATGATTAAGCTTAGTGAGGGAGCATATCAAAAGCCAAGACAGGCCAAAAGCCAGGCCTCTTGCACCAGGCAGGCAGCCAGGTTGTGAATGCAAACGAAACATTTTTAAAGGAAATTAAAAGTGCTACTCCAATGAACACATGAATGATAAGAAAGTGAAACAACCTTATTGCTGATATGGAAAAGGTTTTACAGTCAGGTAGAAGATCAAACCACCACCAACATTCCCTTAAACCAAATCTTAATCCAGAGTAAGACCCTGTCTTCGATTCAGTGAAGGCTGAGAGAGGTGAGGAAGTGTCAAAAGAAAAGTCTGAAGGTAGCAGAACTTGGTTCATGAGGTTTAAGGAAAGAAGCTGTTTCTATAGCATAAAAGTGCAAGGTGAAGCAGGAAGTGCTGATGGAGAAGCTGCAGCGAGTTATTCAAAGGATCAAGCTAAGATCACTGAAGAAGGTGGCTACACTAAACAACAAATTTTCAAAGTAGATGAAACAGCCTTCTATTGGAAGAAGACGCCATTTAGGACATCCATAGTTAGAGAGGTGAGGTCAATGTCTTGCTCCAAAGCTTCAAAGGACAGGTTGCTTCTTTTTTTAAGGCTAATGCAGCTGGTGAGTTTAAGTTGAAGCCTATATGTTCATTTACCATTCCAAAAATCCTAGGGCCCTTAGGAATTATGCTAAATCTCCTGTGCTTGTGCTCTATAAATGGAATAATAAAGCTTGAATCATGGGATATCAGTTTATTGCATGGTTTACTGAATATTTTAAATCCACTGTTGAGACCTACTGCTCAGAAAAAAAGATTATTTTCAAACTTACTGCTCCTTGAAACAATGCACCTGGTCATCCAAGAGCTCTAATGGAGATGTACAAGGAGATTCATGTTGTTTTTATGCCGCTAACACCACATCCATTCTGTAGCCCATGGAACAAGGAGTAGTTTCAACTTTTAAGTCTCATTATTTAAGAAATACATTTTGTAAGACTACAGCTGCCAAAGATAGTGATTCCTCTGATGGACCTGGGAAAAGTCACTTGAAATCCACCTGGAAAGGATTCATCAATGTAGATGCCAATAAGAACATTTGTGACTTGTGGGAGGAGGTCAAAATATCAACAATGAACAGGAGTTTGGAAGAAGTTGATTCCAACTCTTTGAGATGTTTAGGACTTCAGTGGAGGAAGTAACTGCAGAAGTGATGGAAACAGCAGGAGAACTTGAATTAAAAGCAGAGCCTGAAGGTGTGAGTGAATTGCTGCAATCTCATGATAAAGCTTGAAAAGATGAGGAGTTGATTCTTATGAATGAGCACAGAAAGTGGTTTCTTGATATGAAATCTACTCTTGGTGAAGGTGCTTTAAACACTTAAAAAGACAACAAAGAATTTAGAATATTTCATAAATTTAGTTGAGAAGGCAGTGGCAGGGTTTGAGAGGATTAAGTTCAATTTTGAAAGAAGTTCTACTGTGGGTAAAATGCTGTCAAACAGCATCGCATTCTACAGAGAAGTATTTTATAAAAGGAAGTCATTTGATGTGACAAACTTCATTGTTCTCTTATTTAAGAAATTGCCACAGTCACCCCAACCTTCAGCAACCACCACTCTGACTAGTTAGCAGCTGTCAACTTCGAGACAAGACTCTACACCAGCAAAATTATTATGTCTTGCTGAAGGCCCAGATGCTCCTTAGTATTTTAAAGCAATGAATTATTTTTAAATTAAGTATGTACATTGTTTTTTAGACATAATGCTATTGCACACTTAATAGACTACAGTATAGTGTAAACGTAAGTGTTATGTGCACTGGAAAAACTTTGTGTGACTCAGTTTATTGAAATATTCACTTTATTGTGGTGCTCTGGGACCAAACTGACAATATCTCTGAAGTATGCCTAAATAGGCTATATGTGTGTGTGTGTGTGTGTGTGTGTGTGTCTGTGTCTGTGTGTGTAAGTTCTCTATATGTATAGGCGATGCAGATCTCACAGATTATTGTGAGCATAAAATTATATAATATATGCAAAAGCCATACCAAGTTAAACTATACAAAACTATTCAAGGCTTACAATCCGTAGGTATACTTTCATAAACTGAGCTACACTGAAAAATCTTGCAGGATTTTTGTGTTCCTCATGTGATGGACACACTAAAGAGAAAATGTTGTGTCATAAAAATAGAGTAAGATGAAAAGAAACACTGCTTAATGTAGATGTCATCTACATCATCTGAGACTCTTGGGATGTCATACGTTGCAAAGCAGGCAAAGGGGGAACAACTACAAAGGCTGCAATGAGGGTGCAAGCTCAGTGTGTTTGAGGAAAAGAAAGCAAGCCAGCAAGGTAAAAGCGAAAGATGAAGTTGAGGGAGCCCTCCCGTCAAACGCCAAGATATTCTTACCACTTTCCTCTAAACACCCCTGGCATTTTCTCTCTTACTCGCTTGGTTTCTAAGTATATAATCTTGTATTATCCCACTTTAGTTGGTAGTATACATTTTTTACCACAGGCTCTTTGATGGACTCCATATCTTGGACTCTATATCTTAAGGCTCCTTATGCTCTTCACAGCACTCAGTGAAATGCTTTGCCCGTAATAGGTACACAACAAGTAGTATTATAATTGTTGATGAAGCCCAATGATATAAACTATTCTTCCTAGCAAAACAGAATAAACTAGAGACCTGCAAAAGTGAATGTCCTAAGTAGGAGGTGGCCCTGTAGATTAGCTCAGTCTAACAGTGGTGAACAGTTTGAAAATAGAGCTTTTGAGTCTTCTGTATTCACTGGATTTCATTTAATATCAATATCTAACAGAGCTCATTACGTGTCTGAAACTCATGAAAAGTTTGCTGAAATTCATCAAATGGCACACTTAAGATTTGTACATTTCATGACATGCAGATTTCTCAGAAGAAAAAAAGAACTGTAAATTAATTTTGCACTCTAGTTAATGATAAGCACACTGAAGGATTTCTGGAAAAATATAACGATGGCTGTAACTGACTTTGAAATGCATCAAAAAATTATATGGATTGATGGATGGGTGGCAAGATGGGCAGGTATATGAAAAGGCAAGTGTAGCAAAATGGTAGCTCAAGATCATGGGTGTTCAGGTATTCACTGCAAAGTTATTTCAACTTTTCTATAGGTTTGAATTTTTTATAATATGAGGAAAAGTCAGTTGAAAGTGATAACTGAAAATTTATATTAACAAAATGATTCAGTTTATAGCCAATGTGCTCTCAGTTTTATACATCTGAGCTTTCAGAAAATCTTGTGATTCTTATATAAATCCAAGATATAGTCTGTTAACTTATGACTTTGAAAAGTGCCCAAGGAAGTATTGTAATCAATTCAACTTATTGCCTTCATAAGTTAAGAGTTTTGGTTATGTTCACTTATGTTTTTCTAATCATGGCTATGTCCCTGACAAAACTTTCTAATCTATACTGAAAAATTTTAGTCATTTGTGATGGTTAATGATAATTGATTTTTAACAATCCATATTACTTATTGAATAGTACATTCTTACCTTAGCATTTCACCACGAGCGAAGCCAAAAAGTACAATCAACACAATATATCAACAGTCCCTCCCTCTCTCTCTCTCTCTGCCTGCATTCCCATGTTTGTCTTCCCCCATTTCTTTCTTTTTTCCTGAGGCAGAGAAATTACATAGCTTAGGTAAGCATGACATTTAAATGGGAGGGAATATGATCAACGTTAGTGCAAGATTAAAATTCTATAACTAGATTTATCTTCTTTTAGAATGAAATATCTAAGAAACTGTGGCACATTTGTGCCACTATATAACATAAAGAAAGTTGAACAATTTCTTCAATTTGCAGAACTTTTGGTTTCTACCTTTGTCATCTAAGTTCTGAACAGTTTATTTTAATGTATTCCTTTTGTGTATGTAAAAGTTGTTCTTTAGTTTTTCTGTTAAAACAACAGAATGCACTCTCATATTAACACTTTTATAACCTAGGAAAAATGAATGGAATGCCTGTCTGAAGTATACTTCTAACTTTCATTTTGTAATACTGACAATTTGTATCTTTGAAGGAGACTTGGAGTGACAGCACTATAGTAACCCCGCTTCATCGGGGCCAATCTATAGAAAATGTTTGAAATCAGTGGAATTTCTAAGTTTTCAAAAGGTCTACACAGGTGTCAATAAATATGAGAAACGGTCTCAGAGTTCTGTGTAAATGAATAGGTTGTATGTATTTTAAGGCAGTCTTACAGGAACACATTGAGAGATCTGGCATTCTGAAAATCAAACATATGTCATATCAACATTCCTAGTACAAAGTATTTTGTTACTGTTTCTGCACTCTAAATAGCCCTGTGTAAAGGCACATCATTGAACCAAAGCATATGGAGGCAGCTATTCAGTTATGCTGAGCTATGCTGCAATATCATTTTGCTACTGCCTTACTCACCTATTTCTACACGTTTGCCAATGGAAATTTCTGCTCTAGAAATTATACCATGGCAAAGAGAAAAGTAAATACATGAGGTTTGATTCCATTTCTCAAGGCATATCAATATGAAACAGTGCTATTGTCTGTTTCCTGCAACTGCTGAATCAACAAAACATATGCACCTATGCCTTAAGGAAGGAGTAACTCTTTAAACTGCCCTTTTTATTTACAATTACTTAATTACTTTATTTTGCCAAAAATAAAGGTCATTAAAATCATCTTGAAGCTTGACTTAAATTTCAGAAGTAGCCTGCAAATAGTTGTACAGTCTTTAACTATGTTCCATTTAACACATTTAATAGATGTAAAAGCTCACAAGTGATGATATAAAGGATAATTTACGCTTGCAATGCATTTTTGTCCAATTAATAGATTGCCTGTGTGTTGCATATTTTGCATGACAAAAGAGCAGAATATTAAACTGCCATTCATAATGAAAATGCACTTTGCAAATTAAAAGTGCCGAAACAGAAATTTTTCACCCTGTTTAGGAAATAAACAGTCCTTAACCAATTAAACTGCATTGTAATAATTCTATGATTTATTGCAAGTTGTTTAACTTTCAAAACTCGGCTAACCCATATTAAGGTCACAATCCATCATGTCTTGCTTGGAAAGCCAGCAAATAATGGCTGTTGTATTAGCTGCTTTTGATGATAGTATGAAAGAAGTATTAGCACTTGTCAACAAAACTGCTTACAACATAACATTAGCATGCATGGGCTGCTGTACCTATTTATTATTCTGGCAGCTTCACACATATTGTTACAAGCTTATAAAACATTTTGTCGGGTGGAAACCGAATGTACACTGTTTGGTTTTCTGATAGACTGGCAGCATAAATGTCTGGGCTGACTTAGTTTAGTTTAAGTGTAAATAGAGACACAAATTCTTCAACCTGTTCTCTTATTGATACTGAAAAGTGCTGAATTATTCAGCATCCAACTCTTCTGTTTGTGTCTATCACAGTTATCAATTACCCATCAGTCTTCTTGTCAAAACAGAATGGATTAATCTGGCTGAAAATAAGACAAATAAATGGATACTATAACAGGGGTGTGGGGTTGCCAGACTGTCAAAGGGAAATCCAGGCAGTGACATTTGCCGTCAAAAATGGGATCTCTGGCTTAAGTGAGCAAATGATTCCCTTCGTGAGCCAAGAATGCACTTAGCTCACCGTAAGTAAATTAATCTGCCTTCTTCAACTGCTAATGCATTAGCACTGAGGTAATAGTTCCATTGCCGAAATTCCTTTATGTTTCAATAATTTTGGTCATTGCTATTGTTTCTCACAGGAAAGGCAGATACATTCAGATACTTTATCTCGGTAAATAAAAGGTTGCCTGGTAAATAAATGAATCCATTTAACAATGAAGTTATTGCTGATAGTTTTGTGCCACTTCATAGCTCTCAGCTGATGTGACACCAAGTAACTCTTTGCACAGATGGCTGGTGGAATCCATCCAGCATCTGCAAAGTCCATCCCTGTTTTCTTTCCCAAACATTTTATTTGGAAATCTTGTTTGGCAGACTTCCTGAGACTCTGCCTGGCTGTTCAAAGTACATATTTCCAATCTATCTCATTTGGCCCTTCTATAAAAAAAGAACCAGCAAAGTGCCTTCTGATTTGGCACAAAAATTTCAGCCACAGACTGAAGCAAGTTTTAGGTTCCTGGCCAAAAATTTACAAGAATTTCATCTTAGATGCTTCCATACTGGACTGTTTTACATAGTCATCATTAACATCTGAAGCCTTCACATCACGACAGGATCAAAGCCTCCCAATCTGTATCATCTGATAGCTTCACTTTGCCAAAAGTTCCCTCTTGTTCTTATTTTCCCAGACATTTCGTGTCCTAACAATTGCAGACATTGTACTTACTGCGGGGTGGTGAGTAATTTAAGGACAGCTACCTGCTGGAAAATGGTTCCATTCACTTGATGATGAATGAACAGATTACTTTAGAATGAATCATCATCTTTTTTCTTTTTCCAGTAGATTGTGTAAAGAATTTTAAGCATTTAAAAATAAAATACCCTTCCTACATTTGGGGAGTTTCAAAGAGGTCGTACTAAAACTTGAATTCTAGGTACAACTTCTGCTATCCTCTTAAAAGACTTAGACAGACTGGAAATTTCCATCTCACATTCCCAGAACATTATCTCAAATTTCTCCTCAATGTAAATCAGGTTCCCAGAACTTCAACATTAAAAAGAAATGTACTAATTGGCCCAGTCACAATTTACTTTTCATTTGCTTTGTATATAATCCCAAGGTTACTTCATAGAAGCACTGCTTGAAATAAGGCAGTGTTTTTATTACCAGTAGATTGTTTTACTTTATCTCTCTCTCATTCTTCCTTTTTAAAGCAAATAACTCATTTATATGGAAAGAGAGCATTCTACAAAATTTTGCATGGCCTAAAAGTGTTTTCAAAGTTTTAATTTTTTTCTAGAATTAATTCTTTGCTACACTAGAAACTAAGTTGATTGACAGGTATGTATAATGAACTTGCTTCCAAATTCCAGATGTTGTTTCCCACTCTTGAGGAACATTTCAAAGTATACGGTTGCCATTTCAGATTCAACTTGTCCCCATCTAAACATTCTCTTTCTCTGGTTCCCTTTTTCCAAAATCCCAATTAGTTACTAAATCCTGCAGTCTGCCTCTATAATATCTCTTCTGTTATTCTCCTTTCCATTACCACTATCAGCATGCTTTCATTCCCCGCTGATTCATTTGGATATTCATGCATGCACCAGCTCACTTATTCAACAATTCTTTGAGCACCTAACGTGAGTGGTCTCTCTGCTTCTAGTCCTTCTAACACTCTTCCCACCCCAGACCTCAGCCCTCATTCTGAAATGCCTTCCACCTATCCTACCCATTAAATATCAGTTCAAATGACATCTCCTTGTATATTTTTCTTTCCTTCCTTCCTACCTTCCTTCCTTCCTTTTTTTCTTTCCTTCTTTCCTTTCTTCCTTCCTTCCTTCTTCCTTTCCTTTCCTTTTGCTTTTTCCTTTTTCTTCTTGCTCTGTTGCCCAGGCTGGAGTGCAGTGCTGCCATCTCGGCTCACTGCAACCTCTGCCTCCAGGGTTCAAGTGATTCTTCTGCCTCAGCCACCCAAGTAGCTGGGATTACAGGTGCCTGCCACCACACCTGGCTAATTTTTGTATTTTTAGTAGAGATTAGGTTTTGCTATGTTGTCTGGTCTCAAACTCCTGACCTCAAGTGATTCACCTGCCTTGGCCTCTCAAAGTGCTGGGATTACAGGTGTGAGCCACCTGCTTGGCCCCTTGTACATTTTTCTTATTGTCTCACTTATATGGAATTTTTTAGTTCTTCAAGTCTGTTGAGCATTTTTCTGTTTCCTTTGTCATAACTAACTTGGTAGAAATCCTGTCTCTGACACTTACTAGCTGTGTGATTGTGGGCAAGTTATAGAAACAACGGAAGCCTCAGTTTCTCCTCTAAGACCTGAGATATTATCACCCCATGGGTTGTGAGTGTTAAATCAGCTAATGCATGTAAAACACTTAGAACAATGCCTGGCGCACAGTGAATGTTCATCAAATTCTTGCTTGTTATATTAATGCACACAGTAGGACTTGGAAACATATGTTTTAACCTTTGTGGGTTGAGAGGTAACAACTGTAATTGCCTTTGGTAAAGGGGCTTAAAACTATACTTATGATCCTGAATGGCAGGCCTTGCAGGGTATAACATCCTGGGCTGAACAGTCTGGAGCCATGCTGTTTGGCTTCATATCCTGGCCTTTACCATTTGCTAGCTTTGTTTAAGTGGGAAGTAAGGCAGTTGAAAGTTTCTATACCTTATAGGTAGTTGTTAAGATTAACTGAAAGTAAAATGCTTAGCAGAGTGCCTGGCCCATAGCAAGACCTCCATAAGTGTAGCTGTCATTACACTAGAAGGGTTCCAAAATGTTCCTTGATCTAATTTTATGTGGTGAAAAAGGACTAGTTAAATGAATGCACAATTCCCTGAATTACTGTCACATCTCCTAGGTCCATAAAATCTTAGAGTGTTTCGAAGAGGTTACACTCATTTTCTGGCCTTGTGTCTTCCCTCATACTCATCCCTCCCTTCCCTGCCCCACACATCTAGGAACATCCTCCCTGTTTACATCCATCTTTGTGAGTTTAAGAAGCTTGTCCCTACCGCAGGCTTTCTGACTAAGCTAGCCCTCAAAGATTTATCATCTAAATGCCTGAAGCATTTAGCAGTTTTTACCACAAAATTGAGCTCTTAATTATAAATCGTCTTGCAGTGTTTTCTCTGTGTTTGATTTGGCTCTCCAGAGATATTTCACTATCTTTCTGCTTCCTACCTCTCTTTTTTCAGGAATCCACAAAGCTCTCTGGATAATTTTCCTGGCCTGTCATGGTGACCATGCCACTTGTCTTCCAGGTATTAGCACGGGGTTCTGGTTCCAGCCAGGCTTCTGGGCTTGATTGTCTTTAACCTAACCATATGAAGAAGGTCTTGCAGCATGAGATAGGCCGTTGCTATTTGCCAAGTCTGTGTTTGTGCACCGGGAAGAATTTTCCTTCTTCGTAAACTATATTTCTACTACCTCTTAGAATAAACCATATCTTTATTCTACAGACAGCTTTACCTGATTGAAGCAGAATTATGTTGTGTGAGAAAATCATGGACTTGGAAGCATTCAAGTTTTGGGTTTGAATCTTGGTTTTTTGTGGGGAGGGAACAGGGTCTTGCTCTGTCATCCAGACTGGAGTACAGTGCCATGATCATAGCTCACTGTAGCCTTGAACTCCTGGGCTCAAGTGATTCTCTCACCTCAGCTTTCTGGCTAGCTGGGACTACAGGTGTGCACCACCATGCCTGGCTAACTTAAAAAAATTTTTTTCTTGGAGACAAGGTCTCAGTATGTTGCCCAGGCTGGTCCTGAACTCCTTGTCTCAAGCAATCCTCCCATCTCAGCCTCCCACATAGCTTGGATTACATGAATCTTGGTTTTGTCACTTACTGTGACCTTTGGCAAGTCACTTTTCTGAGTTTTGTTCAGGTATAAAAATATCAATACCTAGCTCACAGAGCAGACATGTGGATCATGTGAGATAAATAACATAAAGTACTTGACGAATAGTAGGGAGTAACCTTTAGGTACCTTACCCCTCCAATTAATATGAAATCATATTAATAACATCAACAGTTTATCCATATTCTATATGGTATCCATTGACACAATTATGATTACTCTATAGTTTTACATTTACATGGGGTACATATGCTTCCATTTAACATTCCTCTTCAAATAATTGTCTGAGTAAAGTATATACTGAATCTTAGTATTTGTAAACACAACTAAGTGCTTTGCTATGCAACCTAGCAAATCCAGAATCTAAAACTTACTAGTTGTTCAAAGTTGATAGGTATTGAAAATTATCTTTTACATGAAATACTGGTATCTTATCTTCTTCACATTTAAGGAAATTGGAGGCCAAAGGCTAAAACGTCCCTTGGTTAAAGATAAAATGCAAGGGAGTGGAGCTACCATGCCCATGGCTTACCTTCCAATATTTGAATTCTAGATATGTATTTCAAGATAGTGAGGCAGTGTTTCACAAGACAGCTCATGAAACTTCCCTCTACAGCAGTCTCAATTATCATGCCAAAGTGAGTCTCATAACAGAATTTACCTCCAAATTTTTAATAAATCCCTCAGCAAACAGTTGTTCTGGTTGTGTATATCCAGACTTTGGTTGAGAAATGAGAGATGAATGGTTTAAAACTGAAGCCTGCTTATAAGCAGAATTTCTGAGTAGAGAAATCACAATAAAATATCTAATTCCTAGGTTCAAAAGAGCAGCCTGTTTGAACCTACTTGCTTGCTTTCTCTCCTCTTTACCCCTTTCTCCCTTTCTTTTTTTATTTCCTTCTTAGCAGTCTGAATTGACCAAGTTCTAGGCCATTTATTGACAAGTCTGTTCCTAGCTATCAACACTTTGATCTTGTCAGAGGACAATCTAACCTCTTGAGTCAGAGTTAGCATGCGGGGGTCAACTTACCTCTATGAGCATGATACAAAGACAGGAAATTCAAAACTTAATATGACTGATATATGACTAAAGTGACATATGATGGTAGAGACAGTTCTACCCTCATGGAATCACCTTTGAGTATAAAAGAGGTCTTGAGAAACCACAATTCTTACCATTGGCTTGGTGGGTGCGCGGCGAGGAGGCAGGAGATACTTTACTGTTTCCTCTTTAAACTCTTAATAGAAGGCTGTTTCTCAACAGCCTGACTCAGCAACTTCCTAAGTTACTCAGTTCTTTAAAAAGTTTAAGTGTGACCTCAATTCTGCATAACACAGATCTATAATCTGTCTTCAATTTGGAAAGCCTTATCCTTAGAGAAACTGAGAGAATAATATCACAATAATGGTATCTTAGTTCGACAATGAGATTTTCTCCCATATAGATTAAAAACAGACCCTGGGAACAATCTTCAAGAACATTTTATTGTTTTGATGAGACAATAAAATATGAGGTTATCATAATAACAGTGAGCTACCTTTTCTTCTTCTGGCAGGAAGAGGCAAAGCAAAATATTTTCCAAAGTGGCAAAGTGAACAAGAGCTTCTCTTTGTCCTGTGTATATAGTGTCTAGTTTTAGAAGTGGGATTCCCAGAGCAACGGTTTCTACAGCATGTTGTGAAGGAAGTTGATGATATAGCTTTTGTCTGAGAGTATTAGTACTGATAAGCTTATGATAGGGAACCAGGTCTCCTCCACTCCTTCTCCCCACTCTCTTTAATTTACCACACCGTAACCAGATAGGGTGCGTGTGTGCCTTGGGAGAGTGGGTGGGTCAGGTGGGGTGGCACACACTGAACAAGCAGAGAAGATTCCACAGGAATCCTCTCAAAGGTGAAAACTGTTACATATGCATTACCTTGTTTAGTTTTATAGTAATTGTCCCCTTTGTTTATAGAATATTCTAGTAGAACTTTGCCATTATGGTGATCACTCCATAGCTATAATGCATACATAGAGCAGATATGAGTTATGTCCCATAATTCTCTTGTCTGTTCAGTGTGCTAGGTATTGATATTTTTATATCTGAATGAAACTGAATCTCAGAGAGGTTCAGCAAATTGCCCAAAGTCATTACAGTTAGTAAGCAGCAAAGCCAAGATCCAAACCCAGAACTTTATGACTGCAAAGTCCATGCTCCTTCCACACAGTGTCAGCCTGCCTCATTTGGTAAGGTTGATTGTGAAACAAAGATGTGATTTATTTTAAGCAGTGAAAGATATACAGTTTGGAAGGAAAGTGGAAGGAATTTGGTCGTTTCTCTTCTCTCCTCTCTTTATTGTCCTTACCTTCTTCATTCTCTTCATCTTCACTTTTGCCATTCTGAGAATAAATAAGAAAGTTCATTCTTGAGGTAGAAAATGGTGGCAAAGTATGCAGCTGCCTACTTAAAGAAATATGGGGGAAGCTCCTTGCCATTCACGTGCCATAGCAGCTGAAATTCCCACTATTAGAGAGTTGCTTCTTTGGGAACTTTGTGTATTTTGTCTCTAAAAGTTATCTTTGAATGTGGTAGTTTATGATGTTATTGACACCTTTTCCCAGGATTTTTGTGCCCAATGTAATCATCACAGAACATACTACTTTTGACCGGTAATGAATGAGCATAAAACGTTTAAACAAGCCCATTGTAGACAAAGAACAGAGCAAGTTCTTTGGGAAAGAAAATCTGAAAGGTGTTAGAATTCAGGAAGGAGGATCCTGGCATGCTGCTCTGTGGAAAGTCATCTTAATTTTATTTACATCGACCCAGGGGAAATGAGGCATGTGCAGACCTTAAAATAGGTTTAATTTCAGCTTAGATGTCAGGAAGATGTCAGGAAACCTTTCCTGACTCCCTGAGACCAGGTTGTGAGTCCTTGCCCTGAGCTTTTATAAATATCTGCACTTCCCTTTATCCAGCACGTATTTTGCTGTCATTGTCTGTCCAACTCCATCACTAGACAATAAGTTCCTTGAGACCATTCATTCACTCGAAGAATATTTCCAGTGCTAGTGTAAAGTTCAGAAGAAAATACAGATTAAAATATCCCAAATAGTTGAATCTTTTTTACTTTTAACTTGGAGGTCCTTTTTAGCATGGGAAAAAGTCAAACACACTCTTCTATTAATACTTTAGGATTGTAGAGTTGAGTAGATAATGTGTAGTCATCTTTCAGTAGAAGGCAATGGAGATTTACTAGGAAAATATAAGGGGGGGTAATAAATATATTTTAAAATGTTTTCAAGGGAAGGCTAAAACTTCTTAGGAGTTTTTCATTTTTGCTAGGTTACTAAGAATGGAATTCATGATCTCACTACTAACTCAAAAAATGTATAGATAGGTGTGTGGTTCAAAGTGTGAAAGATTCAAGGAAAAGCAAAGAAAGCAATAAAGTGCAAGAAATGGAATGTGCAAGTAGAATAATCATAAATGAGTGGGATTTTAGGGTATTGCTAAAATGCAAAAGAGTATCAGATAAGAAGCTACTTGACAATGATTACTTAGAACCAGCAACCTTCCCAAAGATACATTAAGAAGCAAACAACAAAAGCCTCTCATTCAGAAGAATTTTTTTGAGAATTTGCCAGCTCATTACCTGTCTGGAATGACAAAATCTCCTCTTTGTCCTGATCAGTGAAATTGTGTCCTGATTTGACACAATTAAACCTCTGCTGGCCAGATTCTGTCACAGGACCCCATAATTCATTGTACTTAGTAATCACTTGGCAAATTATCATGGTCATCAACACAAATGGAAATAGATTTGCCTAGAGGAAAGGTCATCAGTGAATAATAGCCTGTAGACCAAAGCTCTGTAACCTGTTGCAAGTCTGAGCTACTGCTCGGCCTTGGGTCACTCACATAGTAATTCCTGGCAACTCATCTCTTGCTGTAATACAGAACATAGTAGAAAGTGGATGTCAGTCCATAGACCCCATTATTGGTGAGGTGGGTTAGGGAGGAAGGAGAAGTTGCTGACTGGCAGAAAGACCTTGCTGCAATGTGGATTTACCTCTAAGGAAACCAACCCATCAGCATGAACCTGACAGCAGTGTGCACTGTGGTGCTCTAATGAACAACCCTGAACTACGTTTTTTCCCCTCTCTGTTAAGTAATCCTGCAGGGATTACAAAGATGCTTCTAAGATTTCTATTTTACTTCCTTAAATAAACCTGCAATTTCAGCCTGCTATGAACCATTGAAATTGCCATTTTCTAGGTAACAAATGGTTGCATATAGGCAATTTTACATGATTTAACCTAATTGTTAAATGGTCACACAGATTTGGTGCTATAATATAACTGTGGGAAGAAAGAAAGAATGAAAATGTGAACACCAAATATCTTATATTTTTTTTTCCTAAGGAAGCCCGATCGGGTTAAAAGAGAAGGCAAATTCCTTTTAGCTGCAATTATTATTTGTGGAATATCTAATCACATGATGCTGTGAAGTGCACACAATACACAGAAGACACCAACATTAACTTTGAGGAATTTATCTTCTGTATGTGAGGATTTGGGTAAATATAGAACAAAAACAGCATTTCCATTTTCCCACCTAGCAGACAAAAATGGCTATATTGTAAAGTGCAACTAATCTCTCACAAAGTATACTGATGCCAGTGCCAGCCCTATATACCCAGAAATATCACCCACTGGCCTTATTTTGCTGCCTGCTACAATCCCCTTCCACCCCACTATATTCTAGATATATTAGCCTTCTTTTCTGGACTGATCATGTAATTTGCAAGACCAATGTGAGGCCTCTTGTTAAAAATGTAAGAATTTCATGGTAGTGACAGCAGAGCACTAAACGGGGGCCCTTTAAGCATGAGGGCATGTGTAACACCCAGGTTGCATGCCCATGAAGCCGGTTTTGCTTCTTTCTGTTTCTCACATATGCCAAATTCATTCCCACCCCAGGGCTCTGATAACCTGCTGTTCTCTCTGTTTGGAATGCTCTTCTCATGGCTGAGGTCTCAGCTCAAATGCTTCTTCCTCAGAAAGGCCTTCCTTTACAACTCTGTTTAAAGAAGCCTTATTTTTTTTTGTCACTCTATGTGACATCATATTATTTTGCTTTTTTCCCCAATATTTTGCTCTGCTGGTTTTTTTTTTTTTTGCTAATTTATTTATAGACTTATATAAGTTATCTATTTCCCCTCCATTAAAATGTAAATTCCACAACAGGAGGACTTTATCTTGTTCACTCTGTCTTGTTCAGATGGTTCCTAAAACAGTACTTGGTATGAGCAGATGTCCAGTAAATACGTTTTTGATGAATAAATGAACAAACTAGATTATTTACAAGATATTTCTAGTTTATAAAAAGTCTTCACTGGTCTTCAGGTTTTTATGTTTTCCAATAGACTCAGCTAATATACACACATGCACACCAACACACAAATGAACCAATGACTGAAGTTCAAAACTTTAGCCAATCCAATACATCAGAAATGGAACCCTCATTCGGCTGTGATTACTAAGTGATTTATCTTTAGAAATCATACTACATTTTAAAGATCAACCAGCTTTTAAACTTAATTCTACTATGGCTCTCATAACTCAACAATTTTAAAGTAAAAGTCCAAAGTTGGCATATATTAAAATGTTGATTGAAAATAACTTGTAAAATAATTTCTAAGAAAATATGGTAAATGTTTTTATTGCAACTATGCCTACTGTTGAAAACAGAATATAATTATTAAGACATTATTACATGCTATGAGAAAACTGAATGCAGCTATAATCTTCCACAAAGTTAATATTCACTTTAGAGTAGTTATATAACAAAAAAGTCAAAATAATTATACAAGGGCACAAAAACTAGTACTTTGACACCCTGGCAGAAATTGCTATCATGAAATAACCTTGGTTGAATTAACCGGAAGCTCATGTTAGATTACAAAGCCTCCTGCAACATACTAATTTAATTGTATCTTTTGAATTTAAGAGTCAAAGATAATGGCCCCCTAAGACTTGACTTTGCTTTTCATGGCTCAACTGGTTCTGGCTAGAGAGTTGGCACTGCATGCAAATCATCTTTTTTGGTGGTTTCATAATTTATAGCTACAATTAGAAATTAACAAAACAAGTTATAAGCACTGACTGTTGAAGACATTTCTACATATCCAATGAGATATGCAATGCAAACTAAATAGAAGAACGTTTGCAATTTAAAATATAATTCTCCATAATGAAAATGTAAAGCAGTCGTTCTGTTTTATTCAGCATGGCAGGTTAGGAATCCCCGTGAAGCTACACTGAAGTAAAGAGTAGATTAATAATTTAATTTGGTTCAGAAGTGTGCAATGGGGCACCACAACCTTTTATTCCATAACCAGCTGCTGACCCTAATATGGACGAACCAATTAGACATCTCTATTTCATTGTTGGGTGACCCATCTAAAACTCACCAGGAATTTTCATTTTCGACAACACTCAACAGTCTGAAAGAATCCTAGTTATCCCCCTGGTGGAGATGGTTGATTTGATAGAAGCACACAAAGGAGTTCAGCAAACAGGGGAAAAAACTGCAAGATCATTTTAGACTGTGTTCTGTAAAAGAACATCTTAATATAATGAGCCTTTTTTCAGTCTCCCTTGGCGGAACGTCAGCCCTCTCAGATAACCCCACACAAAGCAAATACTATTCGTCTGAAGTTACATTTGCTCCTTGTTATCACAACTTATGCCACTTAATTCATTATTCAATGAATTCACTTTCTTGTTTATTAGATGCAAGGTAGCCGCTTATCCCTAAAGGCCATGTATGCAAAAGACTGCTTGTAATCCTGTCACTTCAAACCTCTCTAGACTTTTACATTGCTTCAGGAATTAGGAGGAAAGAAGCAAACAACTTAGATTTATTCCTGATGATATTAAATCTGTACATGATGAAAGAAATAAGAAAGAAATGCTAACCTGAAATTTGTTGATTTGGAGAGTGGCTTCAGATGCTATCTTTACATGCAAAAGTTAGTAATTCACTTGCTTCTCATATTGAACACCTTGAAACATTCTTCTTACATTAAAGAGGAATAAATAAAATGCATTTTTTTTGTATAGGTTGTTTGCAAAAAAGAAATAATGTAATACAGTGCACCAACTGTATTTCAAAGATGCAGGCCAACTCGACATTTCATGTGCTGAAAACAGGTATTAAATATACTTTATAATCTGATATCTGATATGTTATTGCATTTGGGTACCACTCTCTAAGTATATTTAATGTTGGAATAAAAACTGAATTGAAAAGTTTTTTCATTATGGATATTTTAAGATTCCTTTTGGTTGTCATTAACAAGACATGATAAATATATTCTGTATAATATAAAGCAATATGACTATTTGAACTCTTCACACAACATAGTATAATGGTCACAGATATTTCAATTTGATTTGGTAATCTTATGCTATTAAAATCATTAAAATGTAAATGAATTACTGAATTAAACACACTTTCACTACACTCTTAGCACAATTAATATTGTATAAAATTATCTGCATAATTATACACAGTATGTTTACATAAAACAGCCAGGAAAGAGCTACAAATCAGAGGCTGAGTGTAAAATATTTTAAGCTGTGTGCTGAAGTCTTCTAAATATGGAAATCTAAGTGGTTGTTTTAGTATTGGTGCTTTATGTAACTGCAGACTGTTCTAAATTTCATGCTTTACTTATTTAAATGCTAAATAACTCTATACCTATTTTTAAAATTCTCATAAATATATATACATGTACATATATGTGTGTGGGTGTGTATATATATATAGAGAGAGAGAGAGTGAGTGAGTGTATTTTAAACCTGTGTGCATTGTTCACAAAATTAAAAGGAAATTATTTTCTTCAATTAATTTACATTATGAGTTAACTATTTGAAATTTAGCATTAGTTCATCAGCAAAAGCCACAATGAGCATTTTAATGCAGCATAGGATATACAGATATGCCTAGGACAAAAGACTCAACATTTCCAGAAAATAGGAACCATTTACAGGGAACCTCATTTTATGAATAGAATTGTGACCAATAAAATAATGTTACAAAATTACCTGCAACTATTCTAAGGAAAGAAATACTCTTGAATGCTTACATACCTAGCAACTGTGGATATTATTGTAATTATTGCCATCCTTCACAAGCATCACTCATATTACTATAGTGATGAACAGACTGATTCACCTGAATAATTAACCTTTACTACAGCATAACTACCTTCGGTACAGATTAATGTTTTCTATTCAGCTTAAGACATAAACCTACATGGGAAATCACACTTATTAAAAATGCTGTAAAAATCAATTGTTTCCTACCACTCTGAGGAATTAGTATCAACAATTAATTTGTGCAATATTTTTAAAAGCTTGTATTCATCTGTCTGTGCCCATTAAACAAAAACAGAATACAGCAAAATGAAATTAACAAAGAATGCTAATAAAATACAACTTTTCTGTTGATATCTTAGATATATAACTTTATTCATTATTGTACAACTCTTGGTTTTTTACATGTGGGAGATTTAAAAAGTCACCCAGTGATTTTTATAGTGCAACCGTATGCTAGATAAAGATATTTAAGCTGTCAGTATAAACTGCTTCTGTTTTCATTTTGCATTTAATTTCAATGCCAGACTCAAGGCATAAATTTTTCATCACCTGCAATGCTATGAATAAAAGATTAAAAAAGGAACTGAGAAGAAATTCTAACACATGCGGTGCATGCAGCACATTGTGCAGACGCAGTATTCATAACTAGATGTTTAATTTCCATCTTTTTTTACGTCAGGAACATTATTATTTGGGTTAATACATCATGGAGCTAATTTCCAGTATTTTAGCTTTGCAGAATTCAACTTTACCTAGTTTGAGCCAAATAGGCCATTCATTCTACTTGAAATCTCAAGTATACGCCCTAAGATTTACATGCTACTTTGTTAGCACTGCAGGGTTCTATTACTCTCATATTTCTAGAAAGGGAATATTTCAACATCATATATTTTTGTTTGGTTCCGTGAAATAGCATGTACATTAACCTTGCCTCAAAGTTCAAAGAACTAAGAATTACTGAAATGGTCCCGCCTAATATCAGTTCCTCATTAAGGCTTGCTTCATGCTATCTGCCAAAAGATATCATCAATCCCAAGAGGTAAAGTTATGAGCTCAGTGTTAAGGCATTTTTTATTTAGTACTTAGGACTGTTTTCTGTAGCACAATGCATCTTCACTGTCACTTTATTAGCCTCCACAGGACTCACAGACTAGAACAATTTCTAATTCTTGCCAATAGACTCTTAGTGAGCAAGAGACGCGTAAGAGCCGTTCCTAATCTCATCAGGAGGGCCTTGGGTTTATTAGCCTTGCCATTCTGAAACTTCACTTTCTCAGGGCAGTCAAGAGCCTGCTGAGGACTACAGGCCTATTGGGGACAGCAAGAGTTATTCCCTTGGAGGTTAATGGCTTCTAATAATGTCTAGCTTATTGTCTTTGGCTCTAATTACTCAAACTAATTTTTATGGTTATAGAAATTAAATATATGGAAAGCTTTGGAAAAAAATAAACCAAACCATATTTTGATACATTATTATCAACATAGTATCCAATTAGCTCAGTTGGTTAGCAGATAGTGCTAATGAGACCTACGTCATTGGTCCAATTCCACAGGGGCCAGTTAGCTTTACTTTGTTCTGTGGTCACAGACGGATACCTCATCCTATCCAGCTGTCTTAAGTGGTATTGGTCACCAAAATAACCAAATGAGAGAGCATGGACGGATTAGTGTAAATCCACCTCTACAACTAGGCTCTAGAGGGCATCAGCATCATTTTTTGTGACAATTGTACAAAAATGAGGTTTTTAAAATGAGACTTTTTGATTTTTTTGCTTATTGTTTATGACTGTAAAGCAAATAATTTATATCTTCAAAACATTTAATGGGCTTTAATGAGCTAGACTTCGTAACATCTCTATGATATTGACAAGTTTAATTAAGCTTACTTTACAGTTGAAAAAGCTCAAAACTGAGAGGTTAAGTCACTTGTCTGAGGTCACATAAAATGTCAGAGGTATTTCTCAGATTAGAATCCTGGTCTTCTGTATCTCATTCCATTGCGGTACCCATGAGAGTGCTCTGCCTCTATGGAAACAGTCTGAAGACACAGTAATATGTCACTATATTATCACATTATTTTTCATTATGCTAGAAGACACAGCTTAGCGAAAAGGCACAGTGAGTCAAGGATTACAGATGTATTTCTCTTTAAGCAACATAAATGTATGGAAATTTGGATTTGCTGAACAGATAAATTAGAAAGTGTCATGTATCACTTAGTCTGTGCTACCTCATATTGTTATTAATCATTTTTTTTGCATAGTCTAACTTCCTAACTAGACAGTAAGCACGAGGACCATGTCTTATATCTCTTTGAATCCATACTAGATATTAATAAATATTTAGTCATGACAATGGCATTTGATTGGAAGGGGATAGAAAAATATATGACTGTGGACCCTACGGAAAGGGTAAAATAGGGGAAGAGATAAGCATCATGACATTGGGAAGGCATCGATTTTTCCTATTGGGCCTGTGTCATTGCAGCAATTTTAGTTTGATGTATTATACAAACAAACTTTATAAGAGTGCCTAAAACATACCCTAGATACCAAGCATGAAGAGGCCTTACAGAGATGACATACTTAAGGAAAATGCTTTCGATGAGGAAAATGCCTAACCAGCAGTGTAGGAGAGGCAGCTTGGCATAGCTATGGAAGGTAGAGATGTCACTCTGTGCAACCCTGCACCACGCCATCAATGGAGATACGGTGTTGTGTGAAAATTAGTTGCTCAGTATTGTGGAAGAGAAAACCACATGATGGCAGGGGAGATGGGCAGAAATATGGTTTTTATTTTTTAAAATTATTAGTCACAAGATATTTTTAAATTGTATGCTTTTCTTATGCCTGAGGTAACCTTGTTTAGGAGAAAATTGATTTACTTAGAACTTTTCAGAATTATGGCTTTTTTTTTTTTTTTTTTTTTTTTTTTTTGAGACAGGGTCTCACTCTGTTGCCCAGGCTGGAGTGCAATGGCATGATCACATGGAGCCTTGACCTCCCCGGGCTCAGGTGATCCTCCCACCTCAGCCTCCTGAGTAGCTAAGAGTACAGGTGTAAGCGACCATGCCAAGCTAATTTTTGTATTTTTTATAGAGACGAGGTCTCATTATCTTACCTAGGCTTGTCTTGAAGTCCTGAGCTCAAGTAATCTGCCTGCCTCAGCCTCCCAAAGTATTGGGATTACAGATGTAAGCCACCACACTTGGCCAATTATGGTAATTTTGTAAGTTAAAGTATACCTGTAAAGCTTTGTTCCCTTCAGGTAATTGGCTTGAATTTGATTTTGTTAGTGAAGGATGAAGTCAAGGACCATTGGGGTTGCTCTGTAAAATGAGGAGCTGTTTGGGAAATAGGTCTTAACACTAATGTGATTCAAGAAGGAAATGGCAGACACAGCAGAAAACTCAAGATATAATGTGCATATTCCCCACAGATGGACCATCAACAAGTTTTTCATTTTAATGCAGTCATCTCTTTCCTATTCATGTCTCTATTATTAAATCTCTGGTATTGGGGTTCCTCAAAGAATAGCCTTCTGAGCTCTATGGGCTGATCTCATCACTAACTCCTATAGCAGTTAGGATAATCACTATCTTTTCTTGTATATGAATATTCTGTGCAAGGTTATTAGAAAATGTAAATTCACTGCTCAACTTTATTTGTTAAAAGCTAGAAAAAATTAAAATCATGTAATGCTTATTCTCAGGTGAAATATAGCACTCTTATGCTGCACAGATTTACAGTATAATTACATAGGCAATATAGTTTAATTTTCATCTTCTGATTTTTAAAGTATTATTAATAAATTCGTGTTTGATATTATTTGAGCTTTGATGATAATTTGCCTTCTTCAACATATGAGGAAATGTACTGAACACCCAATATTTCAGGGATGGCTTCTTCCTGCCAGATTAGTGCTTATCAACCTAGGAGGCTTCCAGGGGCCATGAACCTCCTGAAAGTGTTGGCAAGTTCTGGAGGTAGATACGTATGTTACATGTTTCTAGGCAGAGCTCTTCTTAGAACTTCAAAGGAGTTCCTGTTTCAAAAGAGAGGTAAGAACCACTACTCTAAATTTTTATCTTGTGTTCACTTGTAAGAAGTTAATATTCATCTCTCTGTGACAATTAAAGATCTGTCTACCTACCTACCTACCTATCTCGTTCAATTTAGTTGTTTTATAAATTTGTGGAATGCTCAAATAAATGAAAAAATGCTGTATTTTCTTTCTAAAAAGAAAAAAAGGGACACATGTGACAACTAAAAAATTTACACCAATTACAATATTTCCATATGGAGTACTGGGAGAGATTAACAGGGGCAGTTAAAGAAATGTCTTTCCTTCAGATATTTAAGATAAAAATAAATACTCTCTATAAGAGACTTTAGATGTAGTTCCTTCTAGGAAGTAGTTTGCTAGACTAGAACTCTTGGGGTCGTTTCTAGGTTTATGATTTCTTCATTACATGCTTCCAGGATATGTCAGATAATTACTTGTCTTCACTGTCAATCAAACACATCACTTCAGACACAGACCATGCTTAACCTATATTTTAAAAAAGAAAACCTGTTTGAACCAAAATACTCCAAACACACATACAAACACATTCACTGAAGATCAGATGTTAGAGAAATGAATTCTGTTTAGATTCGTGCCATCAACTTACTTAGTTCTCAAAAGCAAGTTAATCTTGCCAAAAATCATTGAAATGTGCTTTATTTTACTCCCAATTGCCCTAAATTTCTTAAATGCAAAAAATTGGATTTGAGGTTAGTCAAGAGGGTTTCTCAACATATCTAAGATGATTTTAAAAATTATAGATTCTTACATATCCCAGGTCTATACAAACAGAATTGCTAGAGAATAGCCCTGAGAATCTATAGTGTAACAAGAGACTAAAGTGACTTACGATCATACAAGGTTAGGAAATCTAAAAGGACGTGATATTCTCAGTCTCTTAAGATTTTTGGCATTTGGCTAGTTGGTACATGGTTTTCTTCTGAAGATCTTCAATATACAGTATTATATAAGTCTTTCCAATTAATTTTACCTAAAGGCTGGGAGAATACATTCCCAATCATGAAATGAATTGCTAGTAAGTATGCAACATAGAATTTAAGGAGTTAGTTCAAAATTCTCTTGTCAAGAAATTTAAGGAATCTAAATAAATACAAACACACAAATGTGGGTATTTTTAAATATAAAAAGAAATATGTATGGAGCACGTGTATGATGTTAAAATGAATAACAGCTTTCTTTATTGTCCTTTAAAAATCAGTAATGATTTCAAAGGCATTGATAAGCACAGGGTCAGCATCTTTTTTCAGTCATGCTCTTGGGGAAACATTAAATTCATATGCTCTTCTGGACAACTGTTTCTATTTGGATGTCACAAAAAAGTTTTTAATTCAAAAGAGGAAGAGGAAGGGTATTGGTGGAAATTTATAAAAGGTTTAGGAGAGTTTATTTTTTTATCATTAACAAAACTGAGAGTCAAGACGCCTTCTGTTTCTAATCATTTTTCTATTAACTTGGACTTCTTTTCCCCTAACCTGAAAGTGGGAGGTGAAGTCTTATGCTTAGTTCTGTGGAGGCATTTGCCAATAGAATAAGGCATTTGCCAATAGAATAGAATAATGTGGAGGCATTTGGCCACTTGGAGAATAGATCTATGGCCAAAAACATTGTTAACAATGGATATTTTTGCCTTAGGTTCTGTTTTTCCCCCAGCAACATCAATAGTATATTTAAAATAATATACACTTATATATAAAGGAGTAACTATAAATATAGAAGTAAATGCAATTTTAGTGACACATAAAATAAATAACTCTACTAACAAATACTGATGTTTCAGAAACAAAAGTATATGATTTCAGGTCTACATCACTGAAAAGTGATTGCAACTAAGCTACAAAGCAATACCAAAAGTTTTAGAGATGACCTAATGGTAAAAAGACAACTTTCTTAGTTTCTAAAAGGTAATGACTAGACAGGATGATCTAATTCCAGATTGTTCTATATGCTGTAAATGCTACAGAATGGTTGTTATTGCATAAAAATGAACCACTTTATTATAAATAGAAGGTTGCTATGCCATTTTGGGGTAATCTCTCACGACTCCATTGGTAGCTCCATGCTGGTTGGTATGTAATGTAGTTCATTCAATTATTATTTAAGGTAAAATGCTGAATTGTTCATGTAAATTCAACTGCCCCTTTTAGTAAAGTATGCAGATTAACTTTTCCCAATTTGGTCCACTCCGGGGAGTAACTTTCAATTTTGCTAGGTAGTTAAGTGATTTTTCATTTGTAGTGTTATATGAACATTATTAAGAGAATTCCTGCAGTTACAGAACTCATACTTGGAATTTCTTCTAAATTTTGTGTGCCAACTTATTTAAATTATTAAGACTGAAATAGCTTTGATCTCAGATCATTTTATAATCATTTTATCTGTAACAGGGAAGTTTGGCTCTACTGTTTCTTTACAGTAATTTTGTTATGCACCAAATTCAAGATTCACACTTTCAGTGAATTGAAAAGTGATCATCTTCCCAGTTTATTTGTAAGCCTGTAGGCAACTTATTAGTAAGGTGAATTTTAGAATGCCCTCAGTAAGAATGTAAAATAACTCATGAAACACACAGTGTATTGTGTAACACTACTGTTAAACAAATTGCCTAAGTTTCAGGGAGACTTAACATGCTTGCCTGTGCTCTCCTTGTTGATCCCTAGCAGTATTTTCCTCTATAGTCTATTAGTAAACTGGAGACTCAATGTTTTAGACTCCTGAGAATGACTTTTTTATAGTTTCCATTATACAATAAATTATTTTTCAACATACTTTTTTGGAGTGGTTCATTTATTTATATGACCTCAAGCCTTGGGAAAGATTAAATTAAGGATAAAGTTTTACATCAGCTTCATTTTTAATAGTTTTTTGGTGCCTTTATCCTGCAGCAATCTAATTTATATTATCTTTAAAAATCTATCATATAAATATATTACTATGCATAATCTAAGCAGTAGCATTGCTAATATTTTTATATTTATAATTATTTATTCACTTCAAGTCACTCAGCATGCCATTAATGGGCCATGTGGCTGAATATCCTAATTTGTCCTTGTGACTTATAATTAGTTTAAGTGGAAGTTCAATATAAAGTATTTTGAAGTTTATAAGAATTATTTTTTCTGTTACATGCATGTCCATAGATATAAAACTCAAAGATTTTCTTCCTTTCATAATATACTATAATATGGTTACAAGTGCATTGAAATTCATCTTGTTAGAATGGTAGTAATATATCCCACCAGGACTACTGTTCCTAGTAGCAATTTAAAATAATTATTGTGAGACTTGATGCTAGACATCAGGTTTGCAATAGAATTACAATGAGGGAAGTGTATTAGAGACAAAACATTGCTGGAAGAAAACTTCATAATGGCGCAATTTGGAACTAAGCCTCAATTTTACAGTAATAGATTCTCTTTATGATGGCACAAAGGAGTGAATGCACTTAGCAAATTTAAATCTATTATTAGTCACACTTTGTGGATTGCAGTGCAAAAAGGAGAAAAGAAATTAGCTTTTTAAGTATGTTCTTACATAAAACAGGTTCCAGTAAGAACAGTCTTATATAAAATCTCCTTGTTAGAGTTCAGAAGCACTGTCAGTCTTCATAACATCAGGGAGTTGTCCAGGTTTAAAAGTCTTTCCAAAACTAGTTCTGGAGGTCTCTTATTTCAGATGATAAGTTTCTGAAGTCAGAATATGTTCGACATCAGTATATTTCTTATTTACAGAAATACCATATAGAACAAGAAAGACAGTTAATTTGGTCTCTGCTGCTTATTGTAATTTTTCTTCTTGAATGAAGAGGTATTTGCAGTTCACATTAGTACTATATCTGCCTTTAACATGATTTCAATTACAGTGAAGAGAACTCAGCAGCATTAAGTCGGTATGATGTGGCACTCAGCTAAAGTAACAGGAGTTGCAAGTGGCAATTTTGCAAAGGAAAACAACAGCAAGAATTCGGTGACATTTTTAGTATAAAATCAAAACACCAAAAATCTAAGCTTCCATTTTCAAGTTAATTAAAATGTTATATTTTTTGTTTTAATCATGGTCCATTTTTCTTATCTCATCTGAAAATAATACAGGGTAGAATATTTGATAACAGCAAAATTCAGTTTTAAAATAACATTCGGTCAGGTGCAGTGGCTCACACCTGTAATCCCAGGACTTTGGAGGCTGAGGTGGGAGGATTGCTTGAGCCCAGGAGTTCGAGACCAGACTGGGTAACATAGTGAGACCACCATCTCTACAAAAATATTTAAAATTAGCTGGGCGTGGTGGTGCGTGCCTATAGTCCCAGCTACTTGGGAGGCTGAGGTGGGAGGAAAACTTAAGCCCCACAGGTCAAGGCTGCAGTGAGTCAAGATTGCACCATTGCACTCTAGAGCCAGGGTGATGGAGTGAGAGTCTGTTTCAAAAAAAATAATTAAAAATAAATAAATACATACATACATACATAAAATAACGTGTAATCTTTCCATAATGTTATTGACTGGATACATAGGGATGCAGCTGTAATCCTTAAGAAATATTAAATAAAATTCCTGAGATGTTTCACTTAATTATTTCTCTGTGAAAAAGAATGAAAACACCCAGTTGCATTGAGAAAGGCCGACCTTAAATAAAAATAGATGTTGGTAGATTGAGAGATAAGAAAACAAGAACAAACTGATAATGGTCACCTTTAAAATGAAGTTCTACGTAGCCTTAATAGGGTAATTATAAATAAATAAAATAGTCTAGTCTCTTCCCTAAACCAAATTTATTCTTTCTCAGGAGCTCTCCATCTTAGTGAACCAATCTATACTGTTGTCCAAACCAGAAACCTGTGTATCATCCCTGAACATATCTCTTCCCTCTCTCACCCAGCCAGTCTCCAAGTTCTACTTCCTATTTCACAAACATGTTCATTTCCATCTATTCCCACTGCCACTGTCCTAATTCAAGCCACCATCCCATCATTTCTGTATAGTATTAAACAGTCTCCTGGTTGGATTTTTTCCTTCCCTGATTCAATCTATTCTCCATGTTACAGTAGGACAGATCCTTCCAAACTATTTCATAAAAATGATAAAGGAAAATACTAATAAATATGAGTATATAAATTTCTTTTAAAAAAATCTCAGAAGAAAATACCCCAATAAAATAAAATAGGTCATAAAGTGGCAAAAATATTTGCAATACATATAGCAAAGAGTTAATGTTGCTAATCAATAAAGAATTCTTACAAATCCTAAAAGAAATATAGGCAAAGGAATTAAGCAGCCAATTTACATAAAAAGAAAATGGATTATAAGAATATAAAAAGATGCCTAACTTCATTCCTAAAGGAAATACAAATTAAAATTAGATATTTTTAACCTATCAAATTGAGAAAGATTTAAAAGTTTGAAAATGTGGGGAAAAGAAGCCCTGTCATATACTATTGATGGGTATATAAATTAGCATAGCCTCTTTGAAAGGAAATTTGGAATACATGATAAAATTTAAACATTTTTATCTATATAAAAATTTAAATAATAGTTATGTTTAATCAGGCTTTTACACTTACAGAAATATACCCAGAAATATTAGTATACCTACACAAAGATAAACAAATATGCAATAACTTTTACATTTTAGTAAAAATGGAAGATAAATATTCATCAGTTTGGTTTCAGTTAAATAATTTATGGGAACCCATATCATTCTGGAATATTAGGAAGTGGTTAAAAAAGAGTAAGATGGATCTTCATGTAGTCATATGGAAAAATCACTATGTTACACTGTCAAGTAGAAAAAGTAAGACAACAGTTCGTTCGATATGCCTTATTTGTGTAAAAACGTATATGTTTGTGTATCTATGTCCCCTTATTAATTTAAGGATACATACACATCTCTCATTGATGGAAATGGTGATGAAGGGCTTTCTAAGTGAGGGTAAGAATGTAAGCACGACTGTGGGGGTGGGGGGCTGTATGAAGTGGAGATATAGTTTCCCAGAAAATTTATTTCCTTCTTTGTGCCCCTCAAAGGGAGACACAGTCTTCTCTACCTCCGCACCCTAGGCCTACTCCATTTCAGACCCAGTCTAGTGTTACTATGCTCCCTAGAAATGGACACCCAGAAGCCAAACTAGAAGAGGTTCCCATTGTCCTCTATGAAGCTTGGGACAGAAACATTGCTGAGCTATACATACTGCCCCAAACTGTCCAGCTTTCAGGGTGGTTTTGTTAGGTTCTAGACCACTAGGTACTTCAGAAGTCTTGAAAGAAATATAAAAACCAAGACATCCAACCAGAAAAAAAATAGCATAGGAAGACCTACTGGTTTTCTAAATCTAGATGTAGCAACACAAATGTTCTCTGACTCATTTTTTTCTTTCAATTCTGGTAACCAAGTTCTCAAAGATTCTTTCTACCAAATGGTCTGTCAGATGTGCCCCTTTCACTTCACCTCCATGACCCATCTCCTGAACCTAGGCCTCGTTATTTCCTGTTTGGAGAAACATTTGACCTCTTACTTCATTCTTTCCCACTTAAGATCCATTTTCTCCTGACACCTGCCAGAACAGGATTCATGTGTTTTGGCACTCCTGCTTCCACTCCATATGCTTTCTACATTGGTGATCATTTGCTCCCATTTCTTCAACAATCACCTGTACGTGAATGACTCCTGAGTGTATGTTTTAGTCCTGAATTTTCTTCTGAGTTTCCAACAGGAAACTCAACACATCCCCAAACAAACTTGTTCTCTTTCGCCAAGACCTTTTTCTTCAATGTCTCTCTCTCTCTCTCTTTTTTTTTGCACTATTGTTTAACACATTTTTACAAATTCTTCCACCAAATGTTTCCAAATTGCTCTCTTTTTATGCCTGTTGCCCTGCAGAGATTCTAGTCCTCAGCATCTCCAGCTTGGATACGTCCACTTTTGTAACTACTGTTTTCCAGGCCTGCAGCATCTCCACCTCCGGACCATCCTCAGATCTGCTAGGATAGCCTCATAAGAAGAAGCCTCAGTGAATTACGAAAGTACAGAATATAGGGATCATTGGTACCTGAATCTAGTTTGAGGTTACCAGTCTTAACTCCAACCACACTGTTCTTTACTTCTACCTTCTCACCATAATGAACCACTCTTTATTTTCAAACTGTGCCAGGTTTTTCCATATCACAGTGCCCTTGCCAGTGCAATGTCCCCAACCCAGAATATGCCTCTCCCACATCTATCTGGCCAATTTCTATTATTCCTCTTATTCAATCTCATGAGTCATCTCTTAACGTACAATCTTTTCTGTCTGCCCCCAAGCTGAATTGATTGACTTTTCATCTGCATTCTGATAACACATTAAACACACATACAATAATGTGTTCTGATCAGCCGGTTAGGATCTTTACTACTATGTGATTGAAGCACAAGGTTGGTTCAGTGGCCAAACTTTAAGTTCAATAGTTAAACAATAAGTTCTTCGATTCCTTGAGTGCCTAGCACCATGTTTGGTACATGGTAATCTCTTAGTACATGTGTGTTAAATGAATGAATAGATAACCTTCTATGGCTTTGTTTTTCTGCATCGAAGTTAACTTTGTCAGACTGGCAATTAAAGAACTCTTTCAAATTGTCTGTTCCTTTCCCAGTATAATTTTTTCTTTATCTTTCAAGCCTCAGAAACAGGACTTCATGCCTCATGTACATCATAAATATCTTTTATTTGCATTCATGTCAATTTCTGAACTTTTGCTTACACTATTTCCCTTACTTGGAAAGAGTTCCATCTCCCAACTGTATAAAAATCTAAATACCTGTCTCCTCTCAACTTATAACTCTCTGCATTTTCTGTAGGTTGTGTACTAATTTTGCATTCCCTTAGATCTACATGGTTTATATGACATGTTTCATTACACATACATACACATACTTTTTTTTTTTTTTTTGGCAGGGTCTTGCTCTGTCTCCCAGGCTGGAGTGCAGTGGCATGACCTTAGCTCACTGCAACCTCTGCCTCCCAGGTACAAGTGATTCTCATGGCTCAGCCACCTGACTTGCTGGGATTACAGGCGCGTACCACCATGCCTGGCTAATTTTTGCATTTTTAGTAGAGATGGGGTTTTTCCATGTTGCCCAGGCTGGTCTTGAACTTCTAGCCTCAAGTGATCTGCCCGCCTTGGCCTCCCAAAGTGCTGGGATTACAGGTATGAGCCACTGTGCCCGGTCCATACACACACATTTTATTCTATAGGTTCAGCGATATGAAATTGCCAATATTCAAGCTTGCCTACAAAAATAACAATTTCATGTCATTCAACTTAATTATAAATTTTTGAAGGCAGGTTACTATGTCATAACGTTTTGCTTTGTCTTTTAGTTTAATGTTATCATTGGCACTATTCTATGCAGACAGTAAGTCAGTGATTCTCAGAGTGAGGTTTGTGGACTGTTGTCAGTCCCAAGACCATTTCAGGCATTTACAAAATCAAAGCAATTTTTATACTACTACTAAAATGTTTGCCTTTTTCACTGTGTTAAAATTTGCACCAATGGTAAGTAAAATCGCTGATGCCTTTGCAGGGATCAATGCAGTGGGATCACTCTACTAGTACTCATTGTATTCTTCACTGCCACGTACTTATATTAATACTTAAAAAATAGGCCAGGTGCGGTGGCTTACACCTGCAATCCCAACACTTTGGGAGGCTGAGGCAGGCAAATCACCTGAGGTCAGGAGTTTGAGACCAGCCTGGCCAACATGGTGAAACCCTGTCTCTAGTAAAAATACAAAAAAATTAGCTAGGTGTGGTGGCACATGCCTGTAATCCCAGCTACTCAGGAGGCTGAGGCAGGAGAATTGCTTGAACCCGGGAGGCGGAGGTTGCAGTGAGCCGAGATTGCGCCATTGCATTCCAGCCTGGGTGACAGGGCGAGACTCCATCTCAAAACAAGCAAACAAACAAACAAACCTTAAAAAATAAAAGCCAGTCTCAGGAATGCCCTTATGAAGCAGCAAAAACAAAATCAATTTTATTGAATCTTGATTCTTGAATATACATCATTTTAATATTCTGTGTGACAAAATGAGAAGTACACATAAAGCATTTCACTGCATACCCAAGTACAATGGTTGTCTAGAGGAAAAGTACTTGTGTGACTGAGTGGAAGGCTGAAGTAGCCACTTTTGTCATGGAATACCATTTTTTACATGAAAAAACAACTGACAGGTATTTGGCAGATATTTTCCCTGAAATTAACATAGTAAAACTGTCATTTCAAGGAAAACAACTGACAATATTTGTTGCCAATAATAAAATTCAAGCATTCAAGTAAAATCAGAATTTTGGAAAACTTTGTATCTGCTACCATAAACTTTGACAGCTTCTTAATATTTAAAGATTTTTCAGATGAGATCAGTGGTGAGATTAACAGTTACAATTTCTGTGATATTGTGTAATGAAATGTATCAACATTTGAAGATCTGTATAACTCAGTAAGCAAATATTTTCCAAATTAACAACTCATGATGTCATAAATCTTCTGTGGTAAAAGACCAATTCAAAGTACAAGATATCATTTCAGATTTTTGTAATACATTGCAACTAACCTTTAAGAAACTACCATTTGTTGAATTTTGGTGCTGTATTAAAAAAAATCCACAATGATCTGAAGGGGTAATAAAAATATTCCTTTTTTATCCAATTACATTTCTGTGCGAGGTCATATTTTCTTCATATCCTTCAACCAAAGCAACATATGAAACAGATTCAGTGCAGAAGCAGACATGATAATCCAGCTATGTTAAGCCAGACATTAAAGAGATTTGCAAAACTGTAAAGTAATGCCACTCATCACTAATTTTTTGTTTCGGGAAATACAGTTTTTTTTTAGTAAAACATAACTTATGTTAATATGTAATTGGTTTATTGTTATTTTCAAGTGAATTCAGCACATTTAAACTTCTCAGTTTTAATTTCTAAAATGATAAATGTTAATCAAAATAACCTACATAAACAAAAGTTCTCTGGGGTCCTCAATAATTTTTAAGAATATATAAGAGTCCTTAGTCCTTAGGGCCAAAAATTTGAGAACCACTAAAGTAGATGTTCAATAAATATCTGGTAAGTTAATGAATCCCATGAAGCAATATAAAGGAAGCAAGGAAGGTGTTGTTTATACAAGCCTAGTTAGGTGACTGGGTGCTCAGTTTTCTGTTCACTCTGTCTCAAATGCTTGACTATTACCATACTTGTCACCACACTGAGAAGTATGTAAGTATTAAATCCTTTCCAGGAAGCAATGAGGTGTTCCACTGGAGACAAATCAACCGAAGCTCAGTTACAAAAGGAAGCAATAGAGAAGGTTTGAAAATATCATTGCAGATGTGGGTGGGTGAGTTAGCCAGTGGATTTTAATGAGACTGATGGTCAGGATTGTTGGCTTATTTGAGATTGTGATTATGAATTTATAGTGGACTCAATCAACATATTTATTGAGCACTCTGTACTGGAGCATCACTTCCTCTGGTGGTCTTCCTAAACTCCTTAAATACAGGTTGCTTTCCTTCCATCAGGCATATAGCCTTGAGCACAAGGTTCAAACCTTAACAGTTTTTAAGACAATGGGGAGTGAAACCGTGTGTATCACTGAGCCAGATTAAGAAAGACCCACTCAGTGGTAAGTTAATCACACCCAAGAGAGTTAGTGGTTAAAATTACAACTTTTCATATTACTAGACCTCAACTTTCCCTATTAGACTTCGTCATATCAATTACCACTCCTTTATGAATTTATTTATTCAGAAATATTTGTTTTGTGCCAAAGTATGCCAGGTTCTTGACTACTTCCGCAATTACCTCCCTCCTCCCCAGGCACCTCTTTGCTCCTTACATGAGCATTTTCTTGTTTCATTTTTACGTTCTCTTTTTTTCCCTCTTTGTTTCTGTATTTCAGAATGGGAAAGTAGCATGCCTATAGCTTTGATTCATGGACAGATAAATATGTTAAGTTTGCAGGTAACATTCATTAGGACCCACAATTAGGCAAAGTAGAAGCAGTCTATGCAGCCTGTGTTACTGCAATACCCACACAGACGTGGGATATAATATGTATCATTCTTTAATGGTTTCTATATGTTCTTAGTAGCCTGTCAATTTTTATGTTAATTTCTGTGATTTAGTCACCACATTTGTTTATTCAATAAACATGTGTTGGACTGAAAAAAAAACAGAAGCAAGATTATTCGTTTAAAATTGCAATTAAAAGAGGACTCACAGAGTAGATACCTCCTTCAGCTTGCACTGGTTCTGAATATCAAGTGAGATTTTTAAGAACAATTCTCAGACTTCCCTTTAATTGGCTTTAGAAAGTATCAGTTATGAACATTACTATCATGGTATGTTTTCTGGAAGTCTGAATGACAATACTGGAAAGTAGCCAGTTTACTAGCATTGAAGCTGAGCTGTCACACACAACTCTGGGCGGGCTGGGTGTTGGAAATAGTGGCAGCAGAATACACAAGCAGCTGCTGCATGGTGAAGTGGGGCAACTGCAAGAGGAGGGAGCGGGAGCAATACTTCAAGGGGGCACTGGATTACAATTTCAAAATAATGTGGCAAAGTTGTTGGCTGCTGAGAAACCACAGCAGCAGACACAGACTGGTTTGCTATGCCACAAATAGAAACGGTGGCTCTTTTTGAGCAAAGGCAGTGGGCCAAATGAGATGAAGAGACCACTAGCAGCTGCAGCCCCAAATCAAAGGAGAATCTTTAGAATGTATTCTATGAGAAAAGGATTACTGGTCATGCTCTGCCTATCTATTGAGTTACACCTGCACAGATAGACATCAGGAGCCCAATCTTGAAAAATGTGTTACTCTGATGGATAAATGGCACCCAGTTTCTCACTAAGCATCTTTTTCTCTGAGAGTTCCTCCTAATATTTGATTTATATCTCTTATGGAATAGATGTTTTCAACCTGGCATTCTGGTTGTTCTTGTGCAACCTTGCTTCTTCCATCTCCAGTATAAACTGGAAGCTGCTCATATGCCCCTCAAATTCCACAGCACAGTGTCATGTGCATAATAGGTGCTCAATATTGTTGAATAAAGGAAGCATAAAATTAGCAAAACTGTCAAAAAACTGTCGTCCTATCTTTATTCATCTATTTTTTTCATCTTGCAAATATTTATCCAGTCCCTATTACATACAAAGTAATATGCTAGTTTACATTGTATGTTAAGATGAACTAGACTATGGTTCCCCTAAAGGTGCCATCGTTAAATAATCAAAATTAGTCTCTTTACTGAGAGCTCCGTAAAGACATAATACATTACGTTGTCATCAGTTAAAATAATGGGTTATAAGATAGTATTTGAAAGCCTCATAGTAACCTCAAAACAAAATCATACAACAGATACACAGAAAATAAAAAGCAAGAAATTAAAACATACTACCTTAGAAAATGAACTTCACTCAAATGAAGACAGGAAGATGGAAAGAAGGAAGAGAAGACCACAAAATAACCAGAAAACAAATAACAAATGGCAGGAGTAAGTCTTTACTTATCAATAATAACATTGAATGTAAATGGACTAAATTCTCCAGTCAGAAGACACAGAGTGGCTGAATGGAATTTTTTTTAAAAATCCATCTATCTGTTGCTATAAGAAACATATGGAAATTAAACAATATGTTTCTGAGGGACCAGTGGGTCAATGAAGGAATTAAGAGAGAAATTAGAAAATTTCTTGAAACAAATGAAAATGGAAACACGACATACCAAAACCTATGGGATACAGTGAAAACAGTACTAAGAGGAAAGTTTATAGCAATAAGCAGCTACATCAAAAAAGTAGAAAAACTTCAAATAAATAACCTAATGATGCATCGTAAAGAGCTAGAAAAGCAAGAGCAAACCAAACCCCAAATTAGTAGAAGAAAAGAAATAGTTTAGAGCAGAAATACATGAAATTGAAACAAAGAATACAAAAGATCAACAAAAACTTGCTTTTTAAAAAAGTTAAACAAAATACACAAACCTTTAGCCTGGCTAAATAAGAAAAAAAGAAGACCCAAATAAATACATTCAGAAATGAAAAAGGAGACATTACAGCCAATACTGCAGAAATTCAAAGGATCATTAGAGGTCACTATGAGCAACTACATGCCAATAAATTGAAAAACTTAGAAGAAATAAATAAATTCCTAGACACATATAACCTACCAAGATTGAACCACAAAGAAATCCAAAACCTGAACCGAACAATAGTAAGTAATGAGATTGAAGCTGTAATAAAAAGAACAAAACTGGGGAACTGCATTAGCTGACTTCAAATTATACAGTAGAACTATAGTAACCAAAACAGTATGGTATCAGCATAAAGACAGACACATAGACCAATGGAACATAATTGAGAACCCAGAAATAAATCCACATATCTAGTGAACTCATTTTCAATAAAAGTGCTAAGGATATACATTGGGGAAAGGACAGTCTCTTCAATAAATGTTACTGGGAAAACTGGATATCCATAGGCAGAAGAATAAAACTAAGCCTCTGTCTCTCACCACATACAAAGAACAAACATGAAGGTTCAGGAATTTCCTGAGCAAAAAGAACGATGAGGGATTCTACCCACAGAGACTGGAACATATTATAAGGCCATAGTTTTTGGTGCATGCAGTATTGGTACATGAATAGAGAGACAAACCAGTTTCCATTATGGAACATAATGGAGCATTCAAAATGGGAAATTCAAAAGCAGACTCTGATATATTGAGATTTAGCATAAGAGAAAGGTAGTATCACAGACCAATGGAGAAGGGGGGAATTTCTTATAACAATCTGAAAGTAAGGATAACTCATTTTACTATGACTCAATAGTCAGAAAGAAAAATACAGACACATATAATGATGTAAATAAATGTATGTATGGAGATAAAACAATATAGGAAGGGGAAAATAGAGTTTTGGCATTGCTCATAAAGAATGAAATCACAAATATAAAAGGTGCAGATATCATGGGTTGACAAGATATTAAGTCTCAATCTGGCTTATATCCACAAAGTTGGAATAATATTTCCCCCAAACTCTGCATTAATGGGTAATACTGACCTGAAGGGAAATCTATTGCATTGGAGAAGAAAAATGTATTTTTTTAGAAAAATGTATTAATAGAAGTATTAAGTATATGAAATATATTTTACTAGACAATTTGAAAAGGTATAATTTGAAATTATATCATTGTGCACAACAACAACAAATCACATCAAAATGGACTAAAGACTTAAATCTAAGACCTCAAACTAAAGAAAACATTATAAGAACTCTCCAGGACATTGGACTGGGTAAAGATTTCTTGAGTAATACCCTATAAGCACAGTCAACCAAAGAAAAAATGGACAAATGGGATCACATCAAGTTAAAAGTCTTCTGCACAGCAAAGGAAGCAATCAACAAAGTGAAGAGACAACCCACAGAATGAGAGAAAATATTTTCAAACTACCTATCTAACAAGGGATTAACCAGAATATATAAGGAGCTCAAACAACTCTATAGGAAAAAAGTCTAATAATCCATTTAAAAATGATCAAAAGATCTGAATAGAGGCCGGGCATTGTGGCTCATGCCTGTAATCCTAACACTTTGAGAGGCCAAGGTGGGTGGATCACCTGAGGTCAAGAGTTCGAGACCTGCCTGGCCAACATGGTGAAACCCTGTCTCTACTAAAAATACAAAAATTAGCTGGGCATGGTGGTGCATACTTGTAATCCCAGCTACTCGGGAGGCTGAGGCGGGAGAATCGTTGAACCTGGGAGGCAGAGGTTGCAGTGAGCTGAGACCAGGCCACTGCACTCCAGCCTGGGTAACAGAGTGAGGTTCTGCCTCAAAAACAAAAACAAACAAAAAAACCTAAAAATAGACCTACCCTATGATCCAACAATCCCACTCCAAGGTATATACCGAAAAGAATGGAAATCATTATGTAGAAGAGATATCTGCACTCCCATGTTTATTGCAGCATTATTCACAATGGCCAAGATTTGGAAGCAACCTAAGTATTCATCAACAGACAAGTGGATAAAGGAAATATGGTGCATATACACAATGGAGTACTATTCAGTTATAAAAACAAATGAGATCCTGTCATTTGCAACAGCATGGATGGAACTGGAGGTCATTATGTTAAGTGAAATAAGCCAGACACAGAATGACAAACATTGCATCTTCTCACTTATTTGTAGGAGCAAAAAAAAAAAAAAAAAAAAAAAAAACTAAGACAATTGAACTCATGGAGATAGAGTAGAAATGATGGTTACCAGGAGTTGGGAAGGGTAGTGGGGGGAGGACAGGGACATGGGGATGGTTAATGGGCACAAAAATATAGTTAGATAGAATGAAAAATATCTAGTATTTGATAGCACAACAGAGTGACTACACTCAACAATAATTTACTGCACATTTAAAAATAACTAAAAGAGTATCACTGGAATGTTTGTAACACAAAGAAAGGATAAATGCTTGAGGTGATGGATACCCCATTTACCCTGATGTGACTGTGATGCACTGTATGCCTGTATCAAAATATCTCATGTACCCCATAAATATATACACCTACTATGTACCCACAAAAATTAAAAATAAAAAGTTTAAGTAAAAAACAAGACATAATACAAATTTTATTATTTCTTTTGACCACATCTGTCAAGCAACCAATGTCCAGAAGTGATCAACACATAGAAAATGTGTGAACATTTATGTTCCTTTCTCCAACCTAATAATTTACTCATCTGTCTTCAATGAGATCAAGCAGGTTAAAAAAATAATTCCTGACTTGGGAAAAATCTGGCAAAACTTATTACAGTTTAGAACTTTACCAGATTTAAAATATAATTTGTTGCTTATTTCAAAGAAATGTTTGTGTTTCTTGCACATGGCTTAGGGCATGTTCCCATTTCTGAACCAATCACAGATGCCAGGGGGATGGAATACACTGATTGGCTCAGTGTATGTATGGAACATAATTCATAGGAAAAGGCCTCCTTCTGTCTTGTTTACTTCAGTATCCTCAGAACATAGCTCAGTGACTAGCACAGGGCAGATACTCTGAAAGATGACAGACAATAAATTTAGGATGCAAATTAATTGCTTTCTTAAATATTGTCCTATATGGATAAGCAGGGTGGCCTTGCAGCTGTGGCATTTGTGTTCAAGTTCTGGTTCTACCATTTACTAGTCTTATGATCTTGTATAAGTAAGTTACTTAACTTCTCTTTGCTCAGTTTCTGCATCTGTAAAATGAAGATAATAGCAGTACTTATCTCATAAATTTGTTGCAAGTATTAAATGAGTTAACAGATACAGAAGTTGTTACTACAGTGCCTTGCACATAGTAAGAACTCAAAAAATGTTAGCTATTATGTGTGTATATGTGTACGGAGAGGCATTTATTAATATTAGCTCATATTAATCAAGAAAATATAATACTGGGAACATTTCTTAACAGTATCCTACAAATAGAATATTTTATTTATTTGTTTATATTTCCATTTTTATTTTAGATTCACAGGGTACATGTGCAGGTTTGCTACAAGGGTATATTGTTTGGTGCTGAAGTTTGGGCTTTTACTGATCCCGTCACCCAGACAGTGAGCATAGTACGCAATAAGAAATTTTTCAGCCTCTGTCCCCATTACTCCATCTCTCCTTTTGGAGGTTTCAGTGTCCCAAATAGAATAGTTAAAATGTTTATCTATCAAAATCATAAATTCTTCCTAAGTTTCCCTATGTCCTACAGCTCAGCGAATTTCTTAAAGGTGATTGGGGTTTAAATCTCTGCCTCCTCATCTTTCTTATGTTGAAAATGGGGATAAGAATAGTTATCTCCTATTTTATTGTGAGGACTGATGTAATGGTTAGGAGGTTAAAAAAAAATGCTTACCAAATGTTAATTATTATTTTAGTTGTCAACCTTATCAATATTACTGTGTCTGTGGAAAATGAGAGTTAAAAAGAGCAGGATTAAATTCACAAAAGATATATACAAGGAGAAAAAAATATTAAGCTTATTTTGCCATAACTCCAAGGACTAATAGAATATTGTCCATATGAAATAGGTATAATTGGTACAGAATAGAAAATATGTGCCAGAAAGAACATGGTGTGCTCTTTGATTTGAACCAATTTGAGAGTCAATAGCTAGAAGCAATATAGCTCAACTGAGAAAATGCTTACTTTGGAATTTATGAGGACTCAGAATCTCTATGTATCATGCAGGGAACATAAAGAAGAATGTCTAGGTGGTAAGAATAGTTAACATTGGCATACATAACATAATGGGGTTGTAGAGTTTCTTTTTCAGGGAGTTTTTGACATAAGGCTGGTTATTAATATGAGATGGTTGAACTATCTCTTTCACCCTTAGAAATTGCTGGGTGACCTTTTAGTCATACGAACAAGAGCAAAACAAAAAAGTAGTGAAAGGGTTTGTGAGCAATATGTCAATTTTAGCAGTTTTACTACAAAAAGATTATTCATTGACATTGTCATATAACCACCAGAATTTACATTTATTCTTTAATTTCAACAAAATAATATTATTGAGCACACACTATTCCAGGCTCCGAGCTAATTACTGAGTCACTAGATAAGAGGAAATGTACCTGTCCTTAAGGAGCTTACAGAATAGCAAGTGTCATATAAATGATCGCCATAATGAGGCTGATCAGGTATGGTTCTTTTGCATACTACAGCCAGAAATTGGTCTGGCATGCTAATAATCTATAAAACCTTTCTATAAAACAATTCAGACCAACTTCAGCAAAAACTCATTAGCTAAGATAACAAAGCAGCAACGGATGAGTAACAAGATTCTCTTTACTTCACTGTAGCTTCCTTTGGGTTGCCTCCATTTTCAGACAATTCTCCCCTTGCAGAAAAAGGGAACTCATGAGCTTCATCCTTTCATGTCCAACAGAAGAGAAACCGAGGCCTTAGATTGTAGCAGTATTGGTTCTGACTAGGCTGGCTTGTGTCACGTGACCATTTCTGAACCAATAACAGAGGGGTGGAATACACTGATTGGCTCAGGCTCCAGCTCACTCACCTTTACCTGAGGTATATAGGGGTGGGAGAAGTGATTTGTCAAAGTAGAGGTACTGTGCTATTGCCTCAGAAGGAAAACATGACGCTAGACTGCCAAAACAGTAATGGTCCACTACCAAGGAACACATATGCTTGACAATACAGTATATTCAATCTAAGAAATAGTCTTCAAGGACATTCTGGAAATGATGCACTAGCCTACATATTTTTTAAGATTAAGAGGATGTTGACAAAAAGCTTATAATCTAGATATACAGATATAACACAAAGAACTTCTGTGTACTTCGGAGAGTTGTTGGAATAGAGTTCATTTTCCACTGCAGGAATTGGGAAAGCCCCCCAGAAGGAGGTGATCTTTGCAATGGATATCAAAGGAAGGGTAGGATCTATGCAACTTGCCCTGATACAATCTCATTAAAACATAAAGTAATATAGTTTCTCCTCATTCCAGAGATAAACTTTAGATAGCCTATATTATCTTGTTCTAAAAAATATATCTTAAAGAAGTAGCAACCTCTCCAATTGGAGTTACTAGAAAGAATATGGTTACAATTAATAATAGTGCTTACCTTAAACTCAGGACCTAGCACACAGTTCGTACTCAAAAAAATCTTTGTTGAATGAATGAATGAATGAATGTTTGAGTGAACAAATACTATGGCAACATGTTAATGGGTAATAGACAAGATTTCTGTGGTCATGTAATGTCAATTTAAAAGACATCACTAAATGTTGTCTATGACATGTTGTCTCTCTATGGGTTCATATGGAGCCACCTTGCTCCCTCAGGTAGTCCTTTGAGGCTCATCAGTAGCATCATTTACACAGCTCGCATTGTGTGTAATGAAATCCAACCTGGCATCCACCACACCCTCAGTCTTTCAGCGTAAAACAAAGTGCAGCTTCCCCCACAGAGCATCCTGATTAAACAAATTAACTATGGCGCTGCCTGCAAATACACATACTAGAGTGCAGGAAATGAACAGATACAATGGCCAAGTCTGTATTTAATTTTAATTAAATTTCATTCTGTAGCTCAATTAATCCACATCTCCAAATGTCAGCAGGACTTAGGCAAATGGAATGACATCTGCTGCACTGCACAGGACTATAAAACCTTCACTGCATGCTAGGTCTCTGGAAGCACACCAGGAAAAGTGAAATATCTTTATTAAGTGTGTAGTAACATATAGAAGTCTAACTCACAGTCTAATGAAAGAACATAAACTAGGAAAGAAAATTAGACTAAGAATGTGAGTGGTTACGGGCATGGCAAATATTGCTCAATATCCTGCCTTGTGTTATTTATTGTTTTAAAGTTGCATTTGGCTTTATGGCTGTTTCTTTAATATTTACCTAGTGTCCTTCCCAATTGCTCAGGTTGGTTTTCTTTTTTTAACTAATGCAGACTTCTTTCCTGAGAAAGGAGAAATTGGTGGAGTAGGGTGATTTCACATAGAATATGGAAAAGACCACATTAGCTATGCAAGACCATTCATTACAAGAAGCCAGAGGTGTAGCAGAAAGAGTGTGGGATTTGACAAGCCTAGATTAAAATCGCTATGCCGCTTATAATATCAGATGGGGGCGTACCAAAAAAATCCCCAAAAGCAGACATTATTAATTGGTGAGACCGTTGTCAGCTTGATGAGGACTAGTTTTGGGAAATGTCTGCATAGTGTTTTTAGAAAATGTCAACATGATCATTATTGCTGGATAATAAGAAATAGATTGATTAAGATTTAATTCTTAATTATTTAATTATTAAATAAATTTAATTCTTATCAAAGGCTCTTTGATAGCAGGAATAGAGAGGGCCTGCTATCAAACAGCCTTATGGCTAGGCATTGGTTATTCTCTGCAGAGGAGTGGTTATTCTCTGCAGAGGAGTTAGAAAAACCAGCCCTTGCTTTCCATAAAATGAGAATTCTTTTCCTAAGCACACTTTTGGCCTCTCTCCGCCTCTTTACTCACTCTGTTCAGGGCCAGGAGGAGTGGCTTAGCCCACTGGCAAGTTTGGAAATAACTAAGCAGGCATTGCTCAACTCTACTCTTCTTTTTCTTGAGATCTGCCTAAGTGGGTAAGTGTCTAATTGTAGGGTTCAGAAACCCACATGCTACATCCATCCTGGTCTCTCCAAGAGTAAAGGTAAGATTTTTCAGTCTCATTTGATACTCTGTTTTATTTCTGATAATTGTTCACAACCCAGGCGAGCAATACCAGAAATAAAACAGAGTACTGAATGAGATAATAAGGTACAGTTACTACCTACCTGGTAGGTAAGTAAGACAAATGGGATCTAATTAAACTAAAGAGCTTCTGCACAGCAAAAGAAACTATCATCAGAGTGAACAGGCAACCTACAGAATGGGAGAAAATTTTTGCAATCTATCCATCTGACAAAGGGCTAATATCCAGAATCTACAAGGAACTTAATCAAATTTACAAGAAAAAAACAAACAACCCTATCAAAAAGTAGGCAAAGGATATGAACAGACACTTCTCAAAAGAAGACATTTATGCGGCCAACAAACATGAAAAAAAGCTCATCATCACTGGTCATTAGAGAAATGCAAATGAAAACCACAATGAGATACCATCTCACACCAGTTAGAATGGTGATCATTAAAAACTCAGGAAACAATAGATGCTGGAGAGGATGTGGAGAAATAGGAATGCTTTTACACTGTTGGTGGGAGTGTAAATTAGTTCAACCATTGCAGAAGGTGGAAGACAATGTGGCGATTCCTCAAGGATCTAGAACCAGAAATACCATTCAACCCACCAATCCCATTACTGGGTATATACCCAAAGGATTATAAATCATGCTACTATAAAGACACATGCACATGGATGTTTATTGCAGCACTATTACAATAGCAAAGACTTGGAACCAACCCAAATGCCCATCAATGATAGACTGGATTAAGAAAATGTGGCACATATACACCGTGGAATACTATGCAGTCATAAAAAGGACGAATTCATGTCCCTTGCAGGGACATGGATGAAGCTGGAAACCATCATCCTCAACAAACTAACACAGGAACAGAAAACCAAACACCACATGTTCTCACGCATAAGTGGGAGCTGAACAGTGAGAACACATGGACACAGGGAGGGGAACATCACACAGTGGGACCTGTCAGGGGGTTGGGGGCAAGTGGAGGGAGAGCATTAGGACAAATACCTAATGCATGAGGGGCTTAAAAGCTAGATGATGGGTTGATAGGTGCAGCAAACCACCATGGCACATGTATACCTATGTAACACACATGCAAGTTCAGCACATGTATGCTAGAACTTGAAGTAAAATTTCAAAAAATAAAAATTAGAAAAAATAAATTGCCTCTAGCAATCAATTTTAACACACAATGGAAATAAGTATATTAAGGCATTCCTGCTTGCAACATTTCACAATTTGTTTGCATTGAGCTATAAGTATTCCATATAGAAAATTCAGTATGAAAATTTGGAATTTAGAGAAAGCAACAAATACTATTGAATATTTGCTACATTTTTCAAGGAACTGAAAAAGATAGTATCTATGTGTTTTGTGATAAGGGATTTTTTAAAAAATGACATGGATTGACACTAAGTTGTATTGTTGAGTTAGCCTTTTTCTTAGTCAGGTACCCTGAGTTCAGAGCTCCATCAGTGTTTCTTGTAGCACTGTGGGCACAGGAAATTAGGCAACTTGTATTTACAAAGATTTGTTGTGATTGGAAATAACTTCTATCCTGAATGATCACTACTTCTTAAGTCATATTTTTGACAGTAAATGAAGTTGAAATGTACCTTTTTCAGATATGGGAAGTTCTATATGCATCATTAAATGATAATTCTGTTTTGTCTCAAATTATCTGAATACTTTCCTAAATTTCAATTCTGTTCCCCCATATGTGGGTCTCTTTATGGGAAGTCATTATGTAAATTACAGATTTCTCTCTCACCTTTACTTTACTTAATATGGGAATTGAATGGTCATATTATGTAAATTAGCTATTTCAATACAATTACTTTATTTTTATCAAAATACAATATGAAATTCTGCCCTGTCACAATTTTATACATGAAACCTAAGCCATTTAAAAGGCAGGTGTTGTAAAGCACCTATATTGTAATTAATGAAAGATTATAAACTATGAATTAGTAACAGGCTGTAGGAAAAATTTACTAAATTTTTAGATACTCATATATTCTTAAATAAGTCCTATTTATACATTATGTGGTATATAATATCTAAGTAAGCTGCCTTGGAGCTATCAAGAGACTAATATGAACTACAAAAAAACTTAAAATAAGGTCAGTAACTTTTGCTTTTAGTGAGAAAAAGCAAAATTTAGAGAGGTTTGGAAGTCTAGCTCATGGTCTTGATTTTGCTCCTTTACTACAGATCCGGTGCTAGACAATCTATTGAAACCCAGAGAATAATGTAACAATGACTATGCCACAATATACAAAATACCATGGTAAGAGGAGTGTTTAAATGGAATATTATAATGGTACAGAATTGCAAATATTTAAGTCGGTTAGATCTTAAAAATCAGGGTGGACCAACTGCATCATCCATCATTCCTCTTCCCGCCTTTCTTCCCATTCTTTTTCTATCCTATATTACCCATTTATCTCTACTTACTCAATCTTACCTCTCCCCTTCCTTTTCTCTCCTCACCTTTTCTTCTCCCTTCTTTCTTCCTTCCTTTCCATACTCTTCCCTACTGAATGCCTATTCTTTGCCAGACATTATGCTAGGCATCAGGGGAAGATAATTAGGATCAGTTATCTGTCTTTGAAGAGCATATTACTGTCTTTATAGGAGGACCACCACCTAAACAGATACTTTTCGATAATTTTAATAGAAGCAACAGGAAGCCTAGGCCTAAGGAAAAGCACCTAATATGATAGTTCCCTGGATGAGGTCACTCCTGAGATGCATCTTAAAGTATGAGGAGGACTAACTAGGAATAAAGGAATGAAGAAATATGTTTCAGGCCGAAAGGACAGCATGAATGAAGACCCAGGGGATAAAAAGCATCAAACGATATCTTTAGAAGAAGCTCAGTCGGCACAGCCACACTCGGTGGCCTGGGGAGTGACAGGATTAGTTTTATATTTTAGAAGGTTCATGCTGGCAGCAGAGTGGAAGATGGATTTAAGAAGAATAAAACTGGAGTTCGGAACACTAGTTGGGGGCATTTTTCTACTGAATTCCAGGTGAGGGATGATTAGTGCCTGGTGATCATAAAATAGAGAACATTAAACAACATGCCTGGTAGATCCAGAATCAAACCCCAGGTTTCTTCACTCCCAGTCCAGAACTCTCTGTACTATACCAGAAATACAGTTTTTTATCTTATGGTAAAACTGAAACATTTTTGTTTTGGGTTCGGTTAGCCATGAGGGATCCAGATTATCTGGGAGCTCAGCTCTAATTTTTTACATGGATCAATTCAGTATTCATCTATCATGAGTACTTGGCATGACACACTCATCTTTTGCATAAAGAGATTTGCCATTTTAGTGGGAGAAAACCCAACCAGAACCATTGATGTTATATTCATTGTTACAGCATATTTGCAAACCACGTGAATATAAACCTCCTGTTTCTACAGTAAAGGGTGCAGGCCCTCTCCTGGTATAATCTCCTTATGTGTAACCTATCAGTGCTACTATATCTGATGCTCAAATAGCTGCTGCACCACACGTCCTCACTGCTAGTGCCACTGTAATATTTCAGGTAATGAGGTAAGGGGCACACTTGGGTTCTTTATGTGCCAAAATGAGAAAAATTAATTTTAAATGCTAAAAAGATGAGACTTCTGGTGCAGACGGTTACTAAACACCACCAGCTGCTCCACAGGTTTGGAGTTTGGAAAAAGAAGCCCATTTCAAAATCAACAACATAACTCCAGGACATGAGAAACCAAACTGTATCAGTGTTTTGAGCAAGAAGTATAATTTGGAAATCATACTAAATAGCTGGATAATTTGACAAAAGTACTGACAATTCAGTTTGTGCCCATACTATACTTCTAAATATCTTAATATAGAGAGAAGCCAATCATAAATGGTAAGAATATTTTGTTTGCTTTAGTAGATTTGTAAATTGACTTAAAATACACATTTATAGCACTTATTTGTAAAATGTCAGTTTTAGCAGAGCATAGGCTCTTTTCGATGGAGACAGGAGAATGTGATACTTTTATATATTAATTCAAACATAAGTGATTTAACACACACACACACACACACACACACACACACACACACACACACACTTGCCATACCCAAAAGCATTTTCTTGCGTATTGTCATTTAAAGTATAGACATAAATAAGAAAGTGGCATGAATGAAAAGTACAAAAAAAAATTTCCTCCAATCTAATTGTCTCCCCCTTTCAACTACAAGAATTCACAGCAGGGTTTTCCAAGTTGGCCACACATTAAAACCACCTGGGAAGATTTTAAAACAACTGATGGCCCAGGCCCTGCACCAATGCAGTCTGAATCTCTGTGGGTGAGGCCTAAGTGTTGGTTGTGTTTCAGTTTTCCTAGGTGATTGTGCTGTGCAGCTAGGATTGGTAGAGTTAGCTTTAGGGCAGGGTTTCTCAACCTCAGCACTATTGAAAGTGGGGGCTGGATAATTGTTAGGGCTGCCTCCTGCATTGTAGGATGTCTGGCAGCCTTCCTGGCCTTACCTACCACATGCCAGTAGCAACCCCTCCTCTTCCAGTTGTGACAACGAAAACATTCCAAACATTGACAAGTGTCCCCTGAGAGTGCAAAATAGGCCCTGATTGAGAACCACTGTTGTAGATAAATAAATTCCCCTTTCCCCGTTCCCTACTGAGTCTCAGCAGCAGCTGCTGTACGGAGACCTATCTGTGGTCTCCATGTTTTGCTATTTTTCTCTCTTCAAAACTGCCCACCTCTTATCTTGTTCCATGTTCTCCCCACCTTCCAAGTCTGACTTAATCAAGTATTCCGCCAAGAAGTCTTCCCGGATGATCCCATCCCATACCATCTGACTTCCTCTTCCTTCTGTCATCTCAGCATGCCTGCCACCAAAATGTTAGCAAGTTGCTTCGTAAATATTCTTGTCTTTTGGAAGATGTTCTCAATTAGACTATAAACCCATTGACAGAATGAAGGAACTATGTCTTTTGCTTATTTTAGAATCAGAGTTTTTTTAATGGAAGGTTCTATTGCCATTTAAAATGATTTAAAATATCATTTTATTGAACTAGTTCACTTCAACAGGCAATGCCTAAGACAGTATCAGATACAACTTAATACAACATCAGTTCTCCCAACCAAAATTCCAGGTGGATTTTTTTTATGAATTCAAACTTATTTTAAAATTTATATGATTATAACTATATACAGCAGCTAAATATACCTTTAAAAAGAAAGAACTGTCCTGCTAGATATTAAGACATACCATAAAGCCATAATATTAAAACTCACATTGGATTGGCACAAAAACAGACAAACTGATGAATAGAACAGAATAGAGAACAGACAAACCTATGAATATATGTGAATTTAATAAATGAGTAAGGTATCACCACAAATAAATTCTGTCAGAAGAAAAAGAATGATGAACTAAAAAATTCTATATGGCTAATATTCTTGATATGAAATATTGAAATTCATAATTACTATTTGACTATTTCAAATAATGTCAGCTATTAATTTTGTGTTCTCAGTTTCATCCTCAAGACCAAGTTGCTTTTCTGCTGGTTACTTAACAAAATACAACCTGCCTCTGTAATGTAAGAAATGTTTGTAGGAATGATCAAGGACAGGCAAATAACTTTGACTTTAATTTTCAGATATACAGAAAGCCAATTTCAGGGTATACAATAGTCTGTTTAAAGGGAAAAAATCATAAGAAATATTTTCAAATAAAAATATAAAAAGTGCAAAGTAAAAAAGAGACAAAAGGTGTAAAAAATTCTGAGGGTGGAGAGAGGGCGTGCAAAATGAAGAAGTTAGCACCTAAAATAGAAGATAGGGAAGCCATAATATAAAACGATTCTCAGCAAAGCAGAAGAATGCAATAATTACCTTCAGAGGATTGAAGCTTGAAGAAATGAATGTAAACATTCAAGACTAAAAGGCAAGAGTAGGAATGAATTCTAAATTCAGAGACTTTATATTTAAATCTGAGCTGAACGGTTACTACATTAAAAAATCTTTTATTACATTTTGGATGAGTAATAATAATACTACTCTTGATTTATTGAACTTCTTTGTGCCAGTGATTCCAAAGAGCTCTGAAAATGTCTTGTGACAGATATTATTTCCTTTTAACAGAAGAAGAAATTGAGGTATGTAGAGCTTAAGTGACTTGTTCATTGTCACAATTAATCAGTGGTAATGCTGGAAATAAAATTTAAAGTTCTCTGCTATCCAGTGTAGGGGCTGTTTTCTGTCTCATGTTAAATGATCCATAATTAACTTACCACAGGAATAGAGTAGATTCTTAAGGAATAATTACGGAAATCATGCCTTGGTTAAGATTCATGTTCATGTTAAATCACTAATAAAGTCACTAAAAATAGCAAAATCCTTAAATACTTTAAAAAATCCCAACTTGTTATTCAAATAAGACCAATGTAGATATAGCAAAATTTCAGCAGCAATCAACTGAATTTAAGAGATAAATTTTAGCTTACATTTTAAAAAATTTATTTGTTATTCCCTAATAATATATTTAACTGTCTTCTTAATGAGTTCTCAGTGAGTCCAATTAGTATTTTAAAACAATTACTTCCAAACTAAAAAATAACCTCATGTATAGCTTATGACTTTGCAAGCTCAACACATCTTTTTGATGTCTAAGCACTTGGAGGAGAAAGCTTACCAATTAAACCTAAACGCGATTACTGAATGCCTAAATTGGCACCACAGGAATAATCTACTGATTTTCTAAGTGTTGATGGAATCAAATGTTGATATATCTTAAAGTGAGGAATCCAACCAGTTGTTCTATTACACACTGAATGCGAAGAAGTGATCATTTGTCAAATGCAAAGTTTGCTGATGCATAGTCACTCATCTGGATCTGACATAAAGAAAATGGTGACATTTAAAACTATCCTCTCAAATAAACTTGTATTGTAAAAAATGTATATAAAAATTATTTATTTGGGCAGAATTGCCTAACTAATGATGTTAATGCGACATGAATCACCACTTTCCCATTTGATATTTTCCTCTTCTTGGACCTTTCATGTTCTCAAATTTGCTATAGTTTCCCAATACCTAATTATAACTGCTTTTTCTTTATTAAAGGTGCCACTTTGACAGGATTATGTTATGAATGTATATGAAGTGGGTGGTATTCTTGAGGAAGTCCACAGATATCCTTGCCTATATCACCCCATTTTGAATTGGTCCAGATAATACTTAATTATACCTTAAGACACTGTGCACGGCAACTGCCACCAAACAGCAGTCCTTCCATTCTAACTACCACAGCACGCTGGCTCAGCCTGCACTAATCACCCTGCAGACAAGTTACAAGTTTACTCATTTAGACATGATATATTTAGGACATTTCTATAGCAAAAATTTATCAGTGCCCTCCCTCCCCTCATTTCTACCTAGTACAAACTTGGAGCTTATCATTCAATTCTCTTCACAGTCTGGAATTGATACAAGTTTCAAGTACTACTATGCACTAGTCAAGTTGTGCTATTTTGCTATTCCTAAAATACATCTTTCCCTTTTTTTCCTTTACCCTCTGTTTGCAATGCAGTCTGCCAATAATGGCTCCCACTCTGAAGTGGTCCCTTAAATGTTACCCTCTGTGCAGCATCCTTTGATTGCCCATTCATCTTTCCACCTGTGCCGTACCCTCTGCCACAGATCTCACTTAGATATGTAGAAACATTGTATCACTTTACTACATGTATCGTGTACTAATTTCTATATGGTGATTTGTGATTTGTGTGTATGTCTCAATTTCTGATACAGAACTGAATTTCCTGAGGGCAGTCTCTATTTTGTACATATGCTTGGTGTTTCATATTCAGGGGCTGCTCGATACATTTTTGTTAAATGCATGAATAATACAGAACAACTAAAACAATTATAGACATTATATAAGATTATCAATTGGTTAAATAAAATTCAAAGCTGTATGTGTAATTTACATTACTTTACAGGTCAGCTGGAGTACTGAATTAACTATTGACTTCTCCAAAGAAAAGCAAATAATTCTAGAATGTAAAGGTATTAAAGGCAAGTAAGTTTATCTATTTTGTTCACTGATGTATTCCAAGTGCCTAAAACAATGTCAGGCATGTAATGGGCATTTAATAAATATTTGTTGAATGAACAAATAATTATTTTTTTTAAAAACAGCTATTTTAAAACATACTCTGGATTTTTATATGTTCTTCGGATTTTTATCTGACCCTCAATTTCCTAGCATTTTCATTGAAGAAATCTAGTCCATTCTCATTTTATTTGATATACATGATACTGTCTCTACACAGATATTAATAATACCTGTAAATTGAGAAAGATACAAAATTGCCCATATTGAATGTAAGTTTTGTGTACTGAAATCCCTTATTCAAGAGACAAGCAATTGGACTTTCTTGCAAAGATAATATGGTTTTAGGTTGTCAGTGATGCAGGGAGCTATTGTCTGTATGTTGGCCTTGTGAAAGAATTTAAAGTTTGTCAGCAGGTTTACACTTCCTTGGCTATTGCCTAGGTTTAACTGGGCTAAGAAAGTTATGAAGACTGAAAAGTCCATTAGGTAATGACTAGTAATGCCAAAGCTGATGGTATCACTTTTGATCCTCTCCTCACAGCTCTTAGACAAAACAGTCCTGTAATCATAGGCTTAAGCTTCTTAAACACAGCACATACAGCCACGGCCAGGAAAAATAAAACCAGAAGCTAGAGTCGAGGTGGGAGTTAGTCCATCCTGCTAGTCCTCAAAGAAACTTTTCCAAATCAAAAACTGCAAAAGTCACATATCAGCCAACACCAGAGAAAATCCACAGCAATTCAGAAAGCAATGATGAAAACTATAATCAAATTCTGCTACCTGAGTGGCACATTGCCTAATGCACTGAAAGCAAAATAGAAACCCCTAATCAAGAAGTCAGCATGTTGTTTAGGACAAGGGTAGATCAAGTATAGTGTCAACATGGCTACAAAGTCAAACCAAGCAAAAATATTGAGTGCTGACAACACTCATTTGTTTCTTATCTTTCTTTCTGATTAGCAGACTTGGACAAGGTGGCATAACAAGGTCCATGAACAGTATGTGTGTGTTTAACTACTTGTCATTTAAAATTTAGATTAGATAAGACCTCCAATAAGCCTTCACTGATTGCCACTCCCACCTCCTATTCATCTTTGCTCCTTGGCAATCCCATACACACTTATAATGATCAAATACCCTGACTGACTAAGATTTCTTTCTGTTGTCAGTTTCCTCCGTTAGACTGTAGGTTCTCTGACAACAGGGACCTGTCCTACTTATCTCTATATCCTTTAGTACCAGCCACCTAATGGGTGCTTCACAAATCATACAGGGAATAACAGAAGGTTTCTTTCTTTTTTTCTTTTTTTTTTAGAGACTGGGTCTTGCTCTGTCACCCAGGTTGGAGTGCAGTAGTATAATCATAGCTCACTGCAGCCTCAAATTCTTGGGCTCAAGGGAGCCTCCCATCTCAGCCTCCAAGTAGCTGGACTATAGGTGCACCCAACCATGCCCAGCAAATTTTTAAACTTTTTATAAAGAAAGGGTCTTGCTTCATCACCCAGGCTGGTAACAGAAGCTTTTGTGCCACACGGAGCTGTCTTGAAACGCTGGCTTCACCTATGGGGGACTGTGTCCTGGTGCTGTGGCTGGTACTCAGGGAATTTGCACCCCCACCTCTGCTTCTCTACTGAGATTATCCTGGGCTCTGACTCCTATTGCCCATAGGCTAGTTCCACACCTCCCTGGGCTCGTCTTATAACCAGAGTTCAGGTGTTCTTTTGTCCAGGACAGGAGTTGGCACAGGCTCCATTTTTACTAGACTTGTATGCTCTAGATAATCATTTATATTTTCTGAGTCTCAGTGTCTTCATATGTTAGATAGGGATAATAATACCTGTACCTTGAATGGTCATCATGAAGATAAAATGAGTTAATGTATATAAAGTCACCAACACCAGTGCCTGGTGAATAAATGGTAACTATTATTAAAACTCTTCTACTACGTTACCTTCAGCTACAAATATGTGGATCAGTCTTCCGACTGATAGCTGATGACTTGTAGCTATCAACATAATACAAACCAGTCTTTGCAGACACATCCAAAGGTCTGCAATGCTATCTTAAAATATGAAGACAATTAGCACTTTACTAAATGCTTAAAACAAGCAAGCATCATTTCCTGAATCCTGATTTGCCAGATTTTACATCTTCACTAATTATCATTTGATGAATAAAAAGGGGCAACTACTTCAGCCACTATATTTTCTTTCTGTTTCAAAAACAAGTATAATAATTCTGCAGGATTGAGATACCTTATTTTTCAAGTCAGGACTTTCAAAACAATTATTGTATATTTATACAAGAGTCTTGTATATTGCTTGTGTTAAAATTTCAAGGGCCTAAGAAATGATAAACTAATATAGGCTGTTTCCTCTCAAGATGTATTTAGAAGCTGAAGAAAATTATTACATTAAGGACAACCTGCCTTTAAACATCTTAATAAATGAACTTGTGAAATGTCAGTCTCCCATTCATAGAATTTCTAGAAATGTGTATTAAATTTAAATATTTAGTAACCATCATGAAATGATGAATTTTTAAGTGATCTTACTGGTGGTGCCAGGCTGTGTCACAAGGCTGGCTGGTAACTCAGCCTGTCATGTGGTGCTCCCAGGGCTACTACCTGGGAATCCATCGGACATCCTTGAGGTGTTCTTGCTCTTGGGGCACTAGAACAGCATTGGGCCTCTTGAGGAGGGTCCTAGAGGCTCAAAAATTCAGTCTCATCAACTTTAACCAAAATTCCAAGGAGGAAAGTTTAAAGGACATGAGCCATGTCTATTGCTTCTGCTCCTTTATAAAAGACATCCTCTGGAAAAAATGGCTAAAGGCCCTGAGGTCAACCCAATTCTGCTTTCACCCAAAGTTTTTGAGAGGAGGTAACTAAAATGATGGAAATGGAGGGACCTGTAGCTGGAAGCAGGAAAGGAAGCAATGAGTCTGTAGGTGAATGGCTTTATCTTCCAGCAATTTATAGCATCCCTCTAAGCCCTCAAGTGTTCACCATCTCAGGGACATAAAACATGGGCCCAGATTTTTCCCCCCATCTCTGATTTCCTAATTAAAGGTAAAAGTGTTTAAAAACAGTATTGGAGCCATTTTTAAGGAAAAAAAATTATAAAAATAAATATTTGATCAAGTTCAATTTCAAATAGAGACAGTTGTATTTATAAGATGGCTGCAATGACGGGAACAGGCTGAACAACATAGACACTGGAAGAAAGCTTTGAGTTAGAGAAATCGGAGGTTGGTTTAGCTAATTAGAATAGGGATATTCATCTACAGCCCTAGTTGCAAGTCTTTTTAATATACACCTATTTGGGTAGAGATTTAGCACCAAACCTGAGATGCTTTCCTATTTTTCTTTTGGTTTTATCTGTCCATAAACAAACACACATACGTTTGAAATGTGAGAAAAAACTTAAATTCTGTAGCAGCTTTTGTAAAAATAATGGAAACTTTTGTAAAAACAGCTTTAAACACCCTGTTTGCCAAGTCAAACAACGTGCCAATTCTGTGAAAGCTGCTACAGGTTTTGTGCTCGTCAAGAGTTGTGGAACCTGGAGTGTTCTGACAGCCACCAGAGATTATTTAAATATAAGAATAATCACAATTCTATCAGCCACTTAAAATCGTATTAAAAGACCTACCTCAAATGTGAGCTGCATTTGGCAACAAATTGGTTACTGTGATGGCCCCCAACGTATGGGTGTTATGCTGATCAACCCCCCTTTCTTGACAAACTGATACTAGGAAACTTCTGTTGTTGCCGATGGAATTTAAGGCCCAAGTACTTTTCCCTCTGTCTTTTGCAGTACCCTTTTGTGTAACAGCATATTGGAAAAGGTCATTCATTGGCTGAGAATAGGATTACTCACAGCAGAGTTATTTCTATAACTATCATTTCACATGCTTTCAGTTGTTTGCTAAAAATAATACTACAGAAGACAGAAGAGTTTTCATTATTTCTTAGACAACTGTAAAAATGTAAACTGGCCGGGAGTGGTGGCTCATACCTCTAATCCCAACACTTTGGGAGGCAGAGGTGGGCGGATCACCTGAGGTCTGGAGTTTGAGACCACCCTGGCCAACATGGCAAAACCCTGTCTCTATAAAAATACAATAATTAACCGGGCATGGTGGCGGACACCTGTAATCCCAGCTACTTGGGAGGCTGAGACAGGAGAATCACTTGAACCCAGGAGACAGAGGTTGCAGTGAGCCGAGATGGCACCACTGCACTTCAGCCTGGGCAACAGAGCAAGACTCCATCTGGAAAAAAAAAAAAAAAAAAGAGTAAACCTAATGTAAACCTACATTTGGGAAAAAATAATAAGAACAACCATTGTTCTAAAGAAAAGAAGAATGGCTGTTTTTTGAAATTTGGTTGAGGTCTTAACATACAGGAATGAATAAATGAATGAGTGAATAAATGAATGAACAAACAAGTAAAATAACAACCAAAGCAATATAAAGGACTTTTGTTGAAAAATATTCAGGCCAGGTGCAGTGACTCACGTCTGCAATCCCACTACTTTGGGAGGCTGAGGCAGGAAGATCACTTGAGCCCAGGAGTTTGAGAGCAGCCAGGGCAATATGGCAAGATGTCATCTCTACTAAAAATAAATATTTTTAAAAATAGCCAAGTGTAGTGGTGTGTGCTGTAAAAAAAAAAAAAATCAAAAGGACAATCATTTGGTATTTATTAGTTCACAGAGTCTTGGAATTCAAACATTGCACAGTGAGACAAAAGCCCTTGTCCTACTGACTTTGCCATTTTACTGATTGAAAAAAAAATGAACAAATTTAATTGAATAGCACATCACAGATAGGGAGATGGGATCAGGCAATAAGAGAGTAGGTACATTCTTGGTAGAAAAAATTGTTTATTATACTTTAAGTTCTGGGATACCTGTGCAGAATGTGCAAGTTTGTTACATAGATATACATGTGCCATGGTGGTTTGCTGCACCTATCAACCTGTCATCTACATTAGGTATTTCTCCTAATGCTATCCCTCCCCTAGCCCCCCACCACCCAACAGACCCTGGTGTGTGATGTTCCCCTCCTTGTGTCCATGTGTTCTCATTGTTCAACTCCCACTTATGAGTGAGAACATGCAGTGTTTGGTTTTCTGTTCCTGTGTTAGTTTGCTGAGAATGATGGTTTACAGCTTCATCCATGTCCCTGCAAAGGACACAAACTCATCCTTTTTTATGGCTGCATAGTATCCCATGGTGTATATGTCCATATTTTCTTTATCCAATCTATCACTGATGGGCATTTGGGTTGGTTCCAAGTCTTTGCTATTGTAAATAGTGCTGCAATAAACATCCATGTGCATGTGTCTTTATAATAGAATGATTTATAATCCTTTGGGTATATACCCAGTAATGGAATTGCTGGGTCAAATGGAATTTCTGGTTTTAGATCCTTGAGGAATCACCACACTGTCTTCCACAATGGTTGAACTAATTTACACTCCCACCAACAGTGTAAAAGCATTCCTATTTCTCCACATCCTCTCCAGCATCTGTTGTTTCCTGAGTTTTTAATGATCACCATTCTAACTGGTGTGAGATGGTATTCAATGTGGTTTTGATTTGCATTTCTCTAATAACCAGTGATGATGAGCTTTTTTTCATATGTTTCTTGGCCACATGAATGTCTTCTTTTGAAAAGTATCTGTTCATATCCTTTGCCCACTTTTTGATACAGTTGTTTGTTTTTTTCTTGTAAATATGAATAAGTTCCTTGTAGATTCTGGATATTAGCCCTTTGTCAGATGGATAGATTGCAAAAATTTTCTCCCATTCTGTAGGTTGCCTGTTCACTCTGATGATAGTTTCTTTTGCTGTGCAGAACTCTTTAATTAGATCCCATTTGTCAATTTTGGCTTTTGTTGCCATTGCTTTTGGTGTTTTAGCCTTGAAGTCTCTGCCCATGCCTATGTCCTGGTTTTCTTCTAGGGTTTTTATGGTTTTAGGTCTTCCATTTAAATCTTTGATCCATCTTGAGTTAATTTTTGTATAAGGTGTAAGGAAGGGGTCCAGTTTCAGTTTTCTGCATATGGCTAGCCAGTTTTCACAGCACTATTTATTAAATAGGGAATCCTTCCCCCATTGCTTGTTTTTTGTCAGGTTTGTCAAAGATCAGATGGTTGTAGATGTGTGACATTATTTCTGAGGCTCTGTTCTGTTCCATTGCTCTATATCTCTGTTTTGGAACCAGTAGCATGGTGGTTTGGTTACTGTAAACTTGTAGTATAGTTTGAAGTCAGGTAGTGTGATGCCTCCAGTTTTGTTCTTTTTGCTTAGGATTGTCTTGGCTATACGGGCTCTTTTTGATTCCATATGAAATTTAAAATAGTTTTTTCAAATTCTGTGAAGAAAGTCAATGGTAGCTTGATGGGGGTAGCATTGAATCTATAAATTACTTTGGGCAGTATGGCCATTTTCACGATATTGATTCTTCCTATCCATGAGCATGGAATGTTTTTCCATTTGTTTGTATCCTCTATTATTTCCTTTAGCAGTGGTTTGTAGTTCTCCTTGAAGAGGTCCTTCACATCCCTTGAAGTTATTTTCCTAGCTATTTTGTTCTTTTTGTAGCAGTTGTGAATGGGAGTTCACTCATGATTTGGCTCTCTGTTTGTTTATTATTGGTGTACAGGAATGCTTGTGATTTTCGCACATTGATTTTGTATCCTGAAACTGTGCTGAAGTTGCTTATCAGCTTAAGGAGATTTTGGGCTGAGACGATGGGGTGTTCTAAATATACAATCATGTCATCCGCAGAGACAATTTGACTTTCTCTCTTCCTATTTGAATACCCATTATTTCTTTCTATTGCCTGATTGCCCTGGCCAGAACTTCCAATAGTATGTTGAACAGGAGTGGTGAGAGAGGGCATCCTTGTCTTGTGCTGGTTTTCAAAGGGAATGCTTCCAGTTTTTGCCCATTCAGTGTGATACTGGCTGTCGGTTTGTCATAAATAGCTCTAATTATTTTGAGATACGTTCCATCAATACCTAGTTTATTGAGAGTTTTTAGCATGAAGGGCTGCTGAATTTTATCAAAGGCCTTTTCTGCATCATTGAGATAATCATGTGGTTTTTGTCATTGGTTCTGTTTATGTGATGGATTACGTTTATTGATTTGTGTATGTCGAACCAGCCTTGCATCCCAGGGATGAAAGCGACTTGATCATGGTGGATAAGCTTTTTGATGTGCTGCTGGATTCAGTTTGCAAGTATTTTATTGAGGATTTTATTGAGGATTTATTGAGGTTTATCAGGGATATTGGCCTGAAATTTTCTTTTTTTGTTGTGTCTTTGACAGGTTTTGGTATCAGGATGATGCTGGTCTCATAAAATGAGTTAGGGAGGCATCCCTCTTTTTCTATATTTTGGCATAGTTTCAGAAGGAATGGTATCAGCTCCTCTTTGTACCTCTGGTAGAAATCGGCTGTGAATCTGTCTGATCCTGGGCTGTTTTTGGTTTGTGGACTATTACTGCCTCAATTTCAGAACTTGTTATTGGTCTATTCAGGGATTCAACTTTTTCCTGGTTTAGTCTTGGGATGGTGTATGTGTCCAGGAATTTAACCATTTCTTCTAGATTTTCTAGTTTATTTGCATAGAGGTGTTTATAGTATTCTCTGGTGGTAGTTTGTATTGCTGTGGGATCAGCGGTGATATTTCATTTATCATTTTTTATTGTGTCTTTTTGATTCTTCTCTCTTTTTTTCTTTATTAGTCTGGCTAGCAGTCTGTCTATTTTGTTAATCTTTAAAAAAAAACAGCTCCTGGATTCATTGATTTTTGGAAAGGTTTTACACGTCTCTATCTCCTTCAGTTCTGCTCTGATCTTAGTTACTTCTTTTCTTCTGCTAGCTTTTGAATTTGTTTGCCTTGCTTCTCTAGTTCTTTTAATTGTGATGTTAGGGTATCAATTTTAGATCTTTCCCACTTTCTCTTCTGGGCATTTAGTGCTATCAATTTCCCTCTAAACACTGCTTTAGCTGTGTCCCAGAGATTCTGATATATTGTGTCCTTGTTCTCATTGGTTTCAAAGAACTTATTTATTTCTGCCTTAATTTCGTTATTTACTCAGTAGTCATTCAGGAGCAGGTTGTTCAGTTTCCATGTAGTTGTGCAGTTTTGAGTGAGTTTCTTAATCCTGAGTTCTAATTTGATTGCACTGTGGTCTGTGAGACTGTTTGTTATGATTTCCATTCTTTTGCATTTGCTGAGGAGTGTTTTACTTCCAATTATGTGATCAATTTTAGAATAAGTATGATGTGGTGCTGAGAAGAATATATATTCTGTTGATTTGGGGTGGAGAGTTCTGTAGATGTCTATTAGGTCTGCTTGGTCCAGAGCTGAGTTCAAGTCCTGAATAGCCTTGTTAATTTTCTGTCTCATTGATCTGTCTAATATTGACAGTGGGGTGTTAAAGTCTTCCAGTATTATCGTGAGGGAGTCTAAGTCTCTTTGTAGGTCTCTAAGAACTTGCTTTATGAATCTGGGTTCTCATGTATTGGGTGCATATAAATTTAGGATAGTTAGTTCTTCTTGTTGCATTGATCCTTTTACCATTATGTAATGCCCTTCTTTGTCTTTTTTGATCTTTGTTGGTTTAAAGTCTGTTTTTTTCAGAGATTAAGATTGTAACCCCTGTTTTTTGTTTGTTTTTGTTTTTTTTGCTTTCCATTTGCTTGGTAAATATTCCTCCATCCCTTTATTTTGAGTTTATATGTGCCTTTGCACGTGGGATGGGTCTCCTGAATACAACACACTGATGGGTCTTAACTGTTTATCCAATTTGCCAATCTATGTCTTCAAATTGGGACATTTAGCCCATTTAAATTTAAGGTTAATATTGTTATGTGTGTATTTGATCCTGTCATTATGATGCTAGCTGGTTATTTTGCCCATTAGTTGATGCAGTTTCTTCATAGTGTCAATGGTCTTTACAATTTGGTATGTTTTTCCAGTGGCTGATACTGGTTTTTCCTTTCCATATTTAGTGCTTCTTTCAGGAGCTCTTGTAAGGCAGGCCTGGTGGTGACAAAATCCCTCAGCATTTACTTGTCTGTAAAGGATTTTATTTCTCCTTCACTTATGAAGCTTAGTTTAGCTGGATATGAAATTCTAGGTTGAGAATTCTTTTCTTTAAGAATGTTGGCTGGGCATTGTGGCTCACACCTGTAATCCCAGCACTTTGGGAGGCCAAGGTGGGTGGATCACGAGGTCAGGAGTTTGAGACCAGCCTGACCAACATGGTGAAACCCTGTTTCTACTAAAAATACAAAAATTAGCTGGGTGTGGTGGCGCACACCTGTAATCCCAGATACTCAGGAGGCTGAGGCAGGGGAATCACTTGAACTGTGGAGGTGGAGGTTGCAGTGAGCTGAGAATGTGCCATTGCACTCCAGCCTTGGCAAGACTATGTCTCAAAAAATAAAAAAGAATGTTGAATATTGGCCCCCACTCTCTTCTGGCTTGTAGGGTTTCCGCAGAGAGATTCACTGTTAGTCTGATGGGCTTCCCTTTGTGGGTAACCCAACCTTTCTCTCTGGCTGCCCTTAACATTGTTTCCTTCATTTCAACCTAGGTGAATTTTACAATTATGTGTCTTGGGGTTGCTCTCCTCAAGGAGTATCTTTGTGGTGTTCTCGTATTTCCTTAATTTGAATGTTGGCCTCTCTTGCTAGGTTGGGGAAGTTCTCCTGGATAATATACTGAAGAGTGTTTTCTAACTTGGTTCCATTCACTTGTCACTTTCTGGTACACCAATCAAACGTAGGTTTGGTCTTTTCACATAGTCTCATATTTCTTGGAGGCTTTGTTCATGCCTTTTCATTCTTTTTTCTCTAATCTTGTCTTCATGCTTTATTTCATTAAGTTGATCTTCAGTCTCTGATATCCTTTCTTCTGCTTGATCAATTCGGCTACTGATACTTGTGTATGCTTCACAAAATTCTCGTGCTGTGTTTTTCAACTCCATCAGGTCATTTATGTTCTTCTCTAAACTGGTTATTCTAGTTAGCAATTCCTCCAACCTTTTTTCAAGGTTATTAGCTTCCCTGCATTGGGTTAGAACAAGCTCCTTTAGCTCAGAGGAGTTTGTTATTATCCACCTTCTGAAGCCTTCTTCTGTCAATTTGTCAAACTCATTCTCCATCTAGTTTTGTTCCCTTGCTGGTGAGGACTTGTGATCCTTTGAAGGAGAAGACGCATTCTGGTTTTGGAATTTTCAGACTTTTTGTGCTAGTTTTTTCTCATCTTCATGGATTTATCTACCTTTTGTTTTTGATGTTGGTGATCTTCAGATGGGGTTTCTGTGTGGACATCCTTTTTGTTGATGTTGATGCTATTCCTTTCTGTTTGTTAGTTTTCCTTCTAACAGTCAGGCCCTTCTGCTGCAGGTCTGCTGGAGTTTGCTGGAGGTCCAGTCCAGACCCTGTTTGACTAGGTATCACCAGCAGAGGCTGCAGAACAGCAAAGATTGCTGCCTGTTCCTTCCTCTGGAAACTTCGTCCCAGAGGGGCAACCACCTTATGCCAGCCAGAGCTCTCCTGTATGAGGGGTCTGTTTACCCCTGCTGGGAGATGTCTCCCAGTCAGGAGGCATGGAGGTCAGGGACCCACTTGAGGAGGCAGTCTGTCCCTTAGCAGAGCTTGAGCCCTGTACTAGGAGATACACTGCTCTCTTTAGGGCTGGCAGGCAAGTACATTGAAGTCTGCTGAAGCTGCGCCCAAAGCCTCTGCTTCAGGGAGATGGGAATTTTATCTATAAGCCACTGACTGGGGCTGCTGCCTTTCTTTCAGAGATTCCCTGCTCAGAGAGGAGGAATCTAAAGAGGCAGTCTGGCTACAATGGCTTTGCTGAGCTGCGGGGGTTCCACCCAGTTTGAATTTCCAGGTGGCTTTGTTTACACTGTGAGGGGAAAACTGCCTACTCAAACCTCAGTAATGGCTGACACCCCTCCCACCACCAAGCTCGAGCATTCCAGGTTGACTTCATACTGCTGTGCTGGCAGTGAGAATTTCAAGCCAGTGGATCTTAGCTTGCTGGGCTCCGTGGGGGTGGGATCCACTATAGACCACTTGGCTCCCTAGCTTCAGCCCCCTTTCCAAGAGAGTGAACCATTTTGTCTCGCTGGTGTTCCAGGCGCCACTGGGGTATGAAAAAAATACTCCTGCAGCTAGCTCGGTGTCTGCCCAAGTGGCCACTCAGTTTTGTGCTTGAATCCCAGGGCCTTGGTGGTGTAGGCAGCTGAGGGAATCTCCTGGTCTGGGGTTGCAAAGATGATGGGAAAAGCATAGTATCTGGGCCGGAGTGCACCGTTCCTCATGGCAAATTCCCTCACGGCTTCCCTTGGCTAGGGGAGGGAGTTCCCTGATCCTTTGCACTTCCCGGGTGAGGGGACATCCCTCCCCACTTCTGCTTGCCCTCTCAGGGCTGCAACCACTGTCTAACCAGTCCCAGTGAGATGAGCTGGGTTGGAAGTGCAGAAATCACCTGCCTTCTGCATTGATCTTGCTGGGAGCTGCAGACCAGAGCTGTTCCTATTCAGCCATCTTGCCAGCCACCAGAAAATTTTAATATATTAATAACATCCACAAAAACTTGGTCTGTATTTTACTATCACCATACACTGGTAATACTAAATAATGTCAGTAATAAAATAATCCTCCTTAAAAATTTTTTATTGGTCTAAATTCTAAACAACTGCTATTGTGGTTTTAGTTGAATTGTAATAATATATACGCAAGCTTCAAATGAGCATATTTTTATTACTTATCCTTTAATAAACATTTTATTCAACATGGAAGTTAATTCAGAGAACTTAATGTTATTTCATCAGCCCAGGCACATGGAAACTCGGCTGCATGTGATCATATCAAGACCAAGTTCCAGAGTAAAAACATAACCACTCTAAATTGTTCAGGCTGGCTTCAAATACAGTTATTATCTCTAAATCCTGTACTATGACATATTCCTGCATCTAAATAGTAGATTCAAAATAACATATGATAGCACAGTGAGATAAAGATGAAGAAACAGAACTTGAGCTACTTCAATGTCTTCTTCTATATGACTACTTGGAGTTTTATTTGTGTTTAAAATTTCAAAATGTAAAGTGTTTTTCCTTTTCCAAAAAATACACCAATATGATTACAAAGTATTAATTATGTTTTTTCCTTTTCCTATGCTGAGATATTTAATCATTTACTGTTTTTATTGACATTATACACTCAGAGTTCAATAAAGAAAAATTTTCAGTATATATGTCCCCACAAGACATCACTATCATCACCATTATTGTTATTATTGTTATTATTTTTGAGATAGAGTCTCAATCTGTCGCCCGGGCTAGAGTGCAGTGGCGCAATCCTGGCTCACTTCAACCTCCACCTCCTGGGCTCAAGCAGTTCTCCTGCCTTAGCCTTGTGAGTAATTGGGATTACAGGCACCTGTCACCACACCCAGCTAATTTTTCTATTTTTAGTAGAGATAAGGTTTCACTATGTTGGCCAGGCTGGTCTCAAACTCCTGACCTCAAGTGATCCGCCCACCTCGGCCTCCCAAAGTGCTGGGATTACAGGCGTGAGCCACCACACCCAGCGTCATCACTATTATTATTTTCAGTTTATTATTATTGCTGAAAATATTTTTGTTGTATAGAGTGGCGGGTGTGCTGAGCGTGGTGGCTCACACCTGTAATCCCAGCACTTTGGGAGGCCAACGTGGACAGATCATGAGGTCAGGAGTTTGAGACCAGCCTGGCCAACATAGTGAAAACCCGTCTCTACTAAAAATACAAAAAAGTTAGCCAGGTGTGGTGGTGGGCACCTGTAATCCCAGCTGTTTGGGAGGCTGAGGCAAGGAGAATCACTTGAACCCGGGAGATGGAGGTTGCAGTGAGCCGAGATTGCGCCACTGCACTCCAGCCCGGGTGACAGTGCAAGACTCCGTCCCAAAAAAAAAAGTAAGAATGGCGGGTGTTAAGAGTGATCTACTCCAGGTGTCAACTGTATTTAGCATACTGCTCACTTAAATAGGAGCCTTAGACAATTTACTGATGTCAGTAGTTTCTTCTTTCTTCCATAGTTTAGCTATGATAAAAATGCATAACTAAGAAGACTTGTGGAAATGCTCATCTCTTCAATTTGCCATCAGCTCAGAGAAAGCCAAAGTTAAAAATGCCCAGAAATTTGAAGGCAACGCTTATTTGTGTGGGACGTAAGCACTCTTCATTTCGGGATGGAAAAAAATGAATTTGAACTGCCATAGGGAATGTTTACACCTTATTTTTGAGGTTCCATTTCATCTGTTTGATTCATTTTGTTACTGCTTTTTCTTTTTCCCCTCCTTTCTCACATCTCATTCATGTAGATTTCTGTCCTGGGCACATTAGAAGAAAGTTAGGAGGGGTCTGAATCTATAGAATTGCCAAAAATCAGATTCCTTCGAGTAGTTTAGTGTTGAAATGATGATCTGCCTCCTTCCAAAAAGTAGCAGCAGTGGGATTCCTTTGAATACGTTCATCTTGTGCTTGAGCAGCTGGAGAATCAGTTGGCAAGGTAGTTCGTTGTCAAGATGTAAAAATGTGTCACCACAGAGAAATATTTAGTCTGACCCAAGCTTTCCTTTTTTATCAGCTCTTAGGATAGGTAACAGGGTAAGGTAACCCTCAATTCGCACTGTGTGGGTGAGTAATAAATAAGCAGGTAACTCAGTTGCAGGAACTCACAACTTTCTCTTCAGCATATTGCACATCACCAACAAAGCAAAAGGCTTTATTTTTTTTGTTTCCATTCAGTTTTAAGTGCACTTCCATGTTTTTTCCGTTTTAATAAAGTTGAGTTCCATACAAGCTAAACTATGAAATTTCTTAAGGATTAGGGATTGGGCACTGACTGGATAACTATAGATTCGATCTTTATTTATTTATTTATTTTTTTAGCGACAGAATCTTGCTCTGTCACCCAGGCTGGAGTTCACTAGCATGATCAGGGCACACAGCAGCCTCAAACTCCTGGGCTCAAGCAATCCTTCCATCTCAGCCTCCTGAGTAGCTGGGAATACAGGTGAGCACCATCACGCTTGGGTAATTTACTTTTTTTTTTTTTTAGAGATGGGGGTCTCACTGCGTTGCCCAGGCTGGTTTCGAACTCCTGGGCTCAAGTGACCCTCCTGTCTCCCAAAGTGCTGAGATTACAGGCATGAGCCACCATTCCTTGCCTGAATTCAATCTTACATTTTAACACACATGTAAATCCTTCTTGTTTCAGGTTAACATATAGCATTACTCAAATTCATGACTGAAAACTGTTAAGGTGAATTCTACTGTCCCTCATAATTTGAAATTCCTAATGTGAATTTTAACACCTAAAAGTTTAATACTGAAGGCAGAGCTATGGTGCTAATAATAATTATAGAAGTTTAAATGGCTTTTGGGAGCTTAAGTAAAAAGAGATAATTAATTTTTGAAATATGTTAGAGCAAGGAACAGGGTGTCGGCATTCATGAGTTCCTTAGCTAGAGCCAATAACTATTTCAGTTTGTCTAGGTAAAAATTACTAAATATTTGTATCTATTCCTCCTCTGGAAAATGAGGGCAAAGAAATAAAAACATCTTTCTTAGATTTTTTTATAGACAATTGACCAATACAAAATTATTTAAAAACAGACAATTGTGGGCAAATTCGTTATATATATATAAATTTCCCTCATGACGTCTTATAATATTTTACAAATGAATAACCATATTATTAAAAATTTAAATGACAAAATTGGTGTCATGATATAGTACACATAATATCTCACCTAATACAATATTGTATCCAATTTATACATATTAGGAGATCATAAGAATACTTAACATATATATTTAAAAATAATTAATTGTTAAGATAAAAGATGACATGCACTAAGGTTGTATAATCCCTGTCTTCTTCTGTAAAGGTGCATATACCTAACCTTGGTTTAAATTATGCTAGAATGATAACAGATCTAGTTATTCATTTTTATTTTACAAAGTATTTCCTAAAAAATGATAAATAGCTCCAAAAGCATATACATTTTAAAATTGTAATTCAGTCTTATTCAATTGTCCCATTACTGCTATCTGTTAATTTATTTGAATTAAATTTACTTAATATCAAAATTTTAAGAAAATTTAAGAAATGATGAGTCTTTGCAAACTTGTAAAAATGAGATGGTAATTGATATATCTCAGTTATTTTTAAAGGTAATGAACACAAACATGTACTCTTGGTAGACATGTAGGATTGTATAACAGGAAACAGTAATAATGTTTCAGTCATATTAATGTTTATAAAAAAACTTCCAAAATCTGAAAAGAATAGCAAGTTCTGCTTATGTTTGCCAATATAAAGAATGAAGCTCAAAGGCTATGGCTAAACAAAATTATTACTTATGTATTTCAAAAAAAACTTTGAATTTGCTAAATGTGCTTCCAAGTGTAGTCTTTAATTAGACTTTAAATAAAGAAGCAACTTTTCTGTTATAGATGCAAGTAAACAATTGACAGGTAGCCCATTTTAGGGGGTTAGGGAGGAAAAGAGATGGCAGAGAAAATAAAAAGGGAGACATCAATGCTGTCTACTTTGACGGATTGAGTCAGTACACTTGCTGACACGGAGTGAGCTGAAGTTTGCTGGTCTTCTATATGGATAGGTTTTACTCGATACAGAGGATTAATAGGTGGATGATAGGAAATTCATAGGAAACACTGATTGGCTGGCCCTAATACTGAATCACAGGGTTTCCTGACCATCTTTATCACTAACAATTCTGCATAGCCTCTTTCACTTTTAAATTGCTCTTTTAGAAATTTGAGATTGAGTTAATGCTACTTCCTACTGAATTTCCAGGAAGTTAGGAAGATAATTTATGGGTAGAAAGAAAACGTGTGTAAATTCTATGTGGACATAAGTGGTAACTGTTCATACTTAATTTTATCCCCATTACATCCCCCAACTTAGTGTCACACAGACATTTCATAATTTTTTCAAACCAAACAATGTTGATTGATTAGTTGGAAAGTAATGAGTGTGAAAATTATGAACTATTCTTAAACCTAATAAATAAATATATATATATATAAAAAATATATACTTGTAAACCAAAACTACTTACTCACCTAACAAACATTGCTGATTACCTGCTATACAAGGTGGTGTTCCTAGCAGTATGGTAGATATGCAATGAGAACTATGGCTTGTGCCCTTGAGGAGATTTTAGCCTAGTTGATGAGATAAACCCTGTATATGAGTGCTTAAAACAGAAAACATTGTGAAATATGGAGCACAGTTGTGAGACTAAGTACTTAACGTATTCAGAGAAGTGAGTGATTTCTTCTGGCAGAAAATATCACCATAAATTTCAGGAAAGAAGAGGCATGTGTGTGGGTGTTAAAGGACATTTAGCCTAATATATGCAAAAATGACAAGGATTTTCATAAAATAGCCAAATAAAATCAAACATAATGAAAACACATTATGACCAAGTTATGCTGATTACATCTAATAGGTTTTCACAAAGAAAGACTAACTAACATAAAACAGGTTTTGATTTTATCCCTCTAAAATGAGTGTTCAAATGAGCTGGTCTCCTTTTATATCTTAATTATCAGAATACTTCCTAAACTTTGCAATATCAGTGACATTTGGAAGCCATAACTCTGAAAACTGTATTCACCGAATGCATTTGTAACTGAAAGGCATAAAAGGTGATTGTTCATTTTATCTTATTAGAAGCTTCCCTGGCCTCCATAGCAGAGCTCATCTGGCCCCCACTTCATGCTTGAGTCATGCAGATTGGAGTTGACTCTCAATTATACCAAGTCTTTCTCCAAAGATGACAGTCCAAATACAGTAGAGATAAAATACATCAAGTTTTAAAATAGGCCCGTTCAGCCCCAGTTGCGCTTCATCATGAAATGATATAATTCACTGATGCCTCTGCCTAGCCTAACATATGTTCTATTCACAGCCCGCGTCACTCTTCATTTGTAATTATTTCCCTTTTTTTTCTTACCCCATCTTGTAATACTTTGCTTGGTTGAAGACAAATACTGAGAGGCAAAGAGTATTATATATGATGACCTGTTCCAGGGTGTTAAACCCCTGTCAAGGTTTGATTTTAACACGGGGTATTGATGACAGTACATCAATTCAAGCATCATGTCCCGAATTAGAGTATATTAATTATCACTTGTGTGCAATATGCATGAAAATGCTGTTTCATTGACTAAAAGGATCTGACTGAATAAAAATCCATTTCTCATCTGGTTGCTTATGGATAAAGACATTTTTTTCTCTTTGCCTTGGATTGTTCTTTATTAAATATGATTTTTATATGATTGTATGAATAAATTGTCTTACTCAACAACAGAACTAGATAGTTTTAAACAAAGAAAATGTAATGGGTTGTCTCCTCTTGGCACATCTCTAACAATGTATTTACAGTTAATAGTTTAGGCAGATTATTTATAACAATACTGCCAAAAAACAAAGTTCTTATTTTTAGCTTTCATGAGAAAATGATACTTTCAAATTGTTGCCTTCTTCATTTAAAGGAAATGAAAGTTATAAGTTACAATTATTTTCAGATGATAGAGCAGTAACAAGCTATGTCAGGTAACACATACACTTAAAAGTAAAACTAATATTATTCTTACTTTTAAAAAGAAGATGTTCATAAGAAGCACTTCAACACTAGACACATTGTTTACATTACTCATAAGTCCAACCAACACACAATTGCATATACACATATTTGCTATGGAGACAACTAGATAACAAAAAAGAAGAAAAACAACTGAGGCCTAACTTTTTTACCACACACAATTTTTACAATGCTACCTAGTTTTAATAGAAATATAATTTTCAGCTTAACATGGAAATTTTCTAAATCTTTTCAAGTTATAATATGTCTTAAAACTTTTTCAACAATATCTCAAAACTAATATTTAATCCCAAATTTAAAATATAAAAGTAGGAATCCTAAAACCAAATTTTACTTAAAAATTTGAAAAAGTATTAAAACATATATTACTATATTCAGTCAAGACAACTGGTCCATATATTAGGGATAATTTCAATGGCAATGAAAAAGAAACAAACCACCACCCTTTTAAAAAATAAACAAATTGCTAGCTCTAATATCAGTGTTTATTAGTAAATATGATGCTGGAGTTTCCCACTAAGTGGCCTTCTCAGTAAAAATTTCACAAAAGCTATTTTAAATTGTGGAGTGGGAAGTTTTAAAACTTAGAAATATATATTTGTTTCTGTATAAAGAAGAATTGGGGTCCTGTAAAGTAGAAGGTTCAAATTCAAGTTGGCAAGTTAAAGGAGTCATCACAACAAAAACAACTCATTCCCACAGTCCTTTCCACTAAATTTCACAATTCTAACATAATTAGTAAACGCATTAAGTGGATCCTAGGAGAACAGGGGAAAAGCTGTGGCAATCTCTCCATGGTGAGGCTCCCCTGCACCACTATTCATCCTGTCCCTGATAAAATCGAACAGGAGTTCCCAAGGTGTGCCACACACTCAAGTCACCATGGTGAGGCCTGGCCACAGAGAGATTCATTAAAAAGGCTGTAGCTTAATACTATCATGATTTTACAAAGCAATTGATTTCTCGCCTCATTTTTTGAATGATAATCATTAAATACTGCATTCAATATTAGATCATGCCCAGAAGACAGGACTCAGAAGATGCACATCTGTTTGGCCCAGAAAACTTTCAATAAACCCCACTTTTGCTTTAAGTTATTAATTATTAAGTTTGCATAAAAATCTCTAGCATGGGAAGAAACCTGAATATATTTATGGGGCAAATACTTTGTGTGGTGGAAGGAATACTGGGCTAGAAATGATAAAAGTCATGAGACATTGCTGGCTCTGCTTCTTACTAGTCACATGAAACGAAGACAAGTCGTTTCTCTGAAATAGAAAAAATAATGCCTGCCTCCCTGTGGCATAAGTGTATGGCAGGGATTGTTGTAAGTGAAGGTGTCCTGACAATGATAAGACATTACATAATTGCAGGGCAGTGCTGCTACTGCTTTTAGCCTGGCAAGAGAGGGAATAATACGGCAGGTGAGGGGGGGTGACCCGTATCAACTAGAGAAGAGGTAACACTGGAAGATGCCGATCTGGTTGACAAATGTTTCTAATAAAAATGTTCACAGATCAGAAGACTCGCCGAATCTCATTTAACTGTGTTGTTATTATTTCCCCTTTCACCACAGTTTCACAGCCTATATCTTTTTTTTTCCATTTTTGTCCTCTCTTTGCTTTCTGGTTGGTCACAACAGAGGCCAAAGTGAGCCATTAAAGGACCTCTGACAACAGTAAACACAGACACATACAATTGGCCTCAGAGGAAATAAATTTTTTATTTTAAAAAATAAGTATATTTGAATACTAAATTAACCAGTTTACAAATAAAAACATTTCAGAACTGAAAATACCCCAGCCATCATTTGCTATGACATTCCAAGTTCATAATTCTAGTTACCACAAGACAAAATATGGTTCATAAACTCCTAGAAGCAATACAAATGAAACTACATTTGTTATTCTGCAATTGATAATGCAATTTCCTTTATTCAAAAAATCCAAACCCTCATGCACTAAGAAATAACTGACCAAATTACCTGTTAACACCTTATACCATAAACAAGTTTTTAAAACATACCTTTAAAAAAGGCTAAGTTTAAATAAGATGCCCTGACTTTTTACTCCTCCAATACAAATTGCAATTTAGATTAATGGAAACAGAAAATACCTTAATTATTGTTCTAAGATCAAAATATTCTTTGTGTTTAAGAATAGAAAAGTGGAATTTAAGTTTTCATAACACATTTTGTATTTTGTCACCAAGATTTTGTCTCTACTAATTTATATTAATAAAATAATGACCAATCTTTCTTAATTCCTATACACAGGCCAAAAAGCTTAAAGTTTACTTGCAAACAGAAATCTCTTTCACACACATATGCACACACACACACCCTGTTCTTTAGTGCCTGCTAGTGAAAATGGTCTATCATATGACTATGGTACCATCAGCACACAGTGTTTCACAGCCATCACAATGTAGGATTGACATATGACATTTATAAAATGTCAGAACCCCTCCACCAAGTTTTACAGCCTATTCCCCAGTAGGGTTTCACGATGTAAAATGAGCTAAAGGCAACTGTGTGCTCATTAGCTGTGCCACTTCTGATACATTACGTCAATTGACAATGAAACACTGTGATATCAAAGTGCACGTATAAAAAATAATAAGGTGACTGCTTGTGTAACAAAATCTCACTAACTGAGAATATATAATAAATATGCAAGGAGGCAGTTTTTATTCACTGAAAATGTGGCATGGTACATCAAACATAAAACCCAAGAAAGGGTTTTGACATGCCAAACTCAATTAAAATTTGTTTTCATGACTATCATCAGAGACTCAGTAACTTATTTGTGAATGTAAAAGGTGATTATGCAAGTTCCAAATAGAAGGATCTGAAGATATCAGGAGACTCAGATGGTGCCAGAAACAGAGCTAGCATCTAACTCGCAATTACTTTTAATGTTAATAAGTGATAGCGAACTTGTCACAATGAAAATTATAGTACACTTAAAACTTGTTTAGCTACCTCCTACCTATTGAAAGAATATGTACATTATTATCTCTCCATGAACCATCCCCCACCTCTCCAATGGCCCAAGATCTTAATGCTTTAAAAATTCCTAAAGTTTGGTGAAAACAAAATAATGAATAAAACAAAATAGCGATATATATAAAATAACTACATATAAAATAGCTATGGCCACCTGACTGGTTTTTACATATGTCGACTCATATTTAGAGAAAAAAAAGGGGGAATGTGAAATCTAATTTCAGAGTTTATTTTCTAGAAAATTAATTATATCACTAATTCCCAAAATCAATAATATTTTGCATTACATTACTTTATAGAGCTGTCCAGACCAGTAAGTACAACATTATAAGTATAAAATCCTAAACTTGGTACATTGGAAGATGATACATTGGAAAAGATATGCCCTCATCATTTAAAAATTGACAAAATGATTTAGTATAATGAACTCCCTGAGAAAAATCCAGCACCATATTAAAAAGTTGTGTAAGTTCCATTCATACTTTTTTCACACGGGAGAAATGTCACATTAGAACTTTTGATGAATATGAAATACTTTACTTTATAGGATGCTAGGAATCCTGACCAGATAGGTAGGATGACAATTGAATTCTATCACTGTACTAAGCCCTCAGTTAAACTTGGTAAAGTTACTTAGATAAACTATTTTCACCCCAATAATATTTAAGGGATTATTTTGAGGAAAATATAGAGATATTAGAGGGAAATTATCAAAGATATCATTAACAATACTGATTGATAACAATACCGAGCAATACTGATATCAATCCTCAAGTGTGGATGTTGCAGCCCTCATTTCTTTCCGTAATTGTCCATGTGATTAATTGCCTTAATAACAAGTGAAGAGAGAAAAATAGAAAGAACACATGATAGTCATCATTTTCAAATCATTCAAATCATCTATAGAGCTGATTACAAATAGAGATACCCGAACGTCATTACCAGGCATTCTGGAATAGGTACATGATGCGTAGGGCTTAGGTTCATGTATCTATACCCACCTCTACAGGCAATTCTGACAAACACCAACACTTGCTACTCATTCCCTCAAGATTCTGATAAATAATGTAATATGATATCTTGTTACCCATATCTTCTCAGGTGGATTTTTTACAAACTTCTAGATGCTCTACATTCCCTTATTTACCACTGATAGTCTTTAGATCAACTCTTCCTTTTTCATAAAATAAAAGATAGGTGCGGGAGGTTGTGGATTTTGAAAGGAAAGAGAATTATAAAAAGAAAACTTCATTTAAAGTACCGTATTTTTCTAACTACATTGCTTCTTCCCTTGTGCCTGACAGGCTGCAACTATCTACTTTTCCCCTCACTTTAGTTTTGGCTGCCTATAATAGTACCTATGCCCCTGTCACCCTCTGATGTTTCTTCAATTGTTATGGTTTTATAATTCAAATTTCAGAAAAGTTGTTCACCCTGTCACTGTGCTCAAAGCCCAAGACATCAAGGGAATAGTCCTTTCTGTGGAATATAAGGCCCACTGTGACCTGGTTCCAATCTATCTTTCTAGCCTTGATTTCTTCTATTTCAACAAATGATTTGTTCATGGTCTCCAAAATGCGATATGCTTTTTTTTCATCTTTGGCTCCTTGCTCGCATCTTTTGCTCTACACTAACAACTATCCCTGTAAATCTTCACCCATCTAGATGAAGTTTCTTCCTTCAAATTGCAGGTCAAATTCTACTTCTTCCCAGATAAGATGATAACTACTCCACCTCGAAAACAGAGATTGTCTTCCTCTGGATCCCCACAGAATCCTCTGTCATTTGGTACTTATTCCACCATATATTATATTTTCGTTATCTTAAAATTTGTTCTCTTCCAAAGATGGTAATATTGAAGGAAGGAGCATTCCTCCTATCATTTTTAGTTCCTATAGTGCTTTTTGGAAACACACTCTCAGGACTCTGAGGAAATATTTATTGGTTGGTATTATAATGTCACATCTTTAATAAGCTACTAAGAATAAAATTACCACTGGTAGACCAAAAGATCTACAGGATCAAAGAACATGAGTCTTTTTCACTGCAGATAAGCAAGAGTTTAATCATTTGGAATAGAGTGATTGAGGATTTTAAAGAGTTTTTCAATACTAAATCTTTCAGCATCACTGCAACACAGACATATTCAGGTGTTAGTCCTGGGAAAATGAAATGAAATTCTACAAACATTTATCAAGTGTCTCTGCTAAGGGCAAAATACTCTGACCTCTGGTACTGTGGGGGCAGTCACTCCATGACCTCTCAAAACCCAACACCATGCATTATATCCATCACACTTGGAAATTATTTTCTAATCTAAATCAAATTTAAATTAGAATTTAAGCACTTACAGGAGAGAGAATGATTAGATGCAGTTTCATCTCTCAAGGAGCTCTCAATCCAGTATTGGTTTTAAAGATCAAGCAGCCACTCAGTTACTGGGCTTAAAGTAAAGGAAAAATAGTAAAATCCCAGAAGGAAATGGAATTTATCATGATCATATTCAAAGCACAATGGTACATGTATTTATACAGAGAAATGTATACATAAATTCAAGGGACTCTATAAGATTTTCAACAAATGAAGCTCAAAGTTCCCTGCTGAATACAAAGATTACTCATGTTTTAAAATGAGATTGTTGATGATTCATTCAGTCAATAAATAGAGTGAGTATCTGCATTCATTCATTCATTCATTAAAGAAATATATGAGTACTGGCACTGTGCAGTGTCTCCTTCCATTTGGCCTTAGATCTAATCAGGTGCTCAATCTTAAGAGGTCTTTCAGTCATTGCCCCTTTTGGTGGCATGGGATTGAATAAAAAGTCCTTTCCATTCAGGCCGTTTTCCTCCTTCCAGAGGGAGAACTCTTTGCCATAGATCATTCCATTGAAATTGGATTTAAAGGTAACATACAGCAACCACTTACCAAATTTCCAATTGGAAGCTTGAAACTGGCTACTTTAATTCTCAGCCACAATTCAGTGTGCTCTATTTGCTTTTCTTTAGTCATATTCAATTCTCTCTCAATCACTGTCCTGTAGGCTCCTTCATGTATAAACAATGATACTTTGTGTTGTACTAGTGAACTAGCATAGTGCTCTGTAGCAAGTTATTCAATAAATGTGAGTTAAGTTGGTGAAACATTTAATGGAAAACATGGTGCTAAGTATGTTTGTTGTGGTGATGATAGTGTAGGATATAAAGATGCATAAGACATAGTTTTGCCCCCAAAGAATTTTCATTTTAGCCGAGGAGATAAAACACTTTCTCAAATAACTGTAATATAAAGTATGAAGTGATAAGCCACAAAGAAGTGGTACAGAGGAGGTGCTGTGAGAGTTCAGAGGAGGGAGAGATTACTTCCAGCTGTTCAGTGTCCAGTGTTCTGCTCAGGACAGTGAGGATTACAGGAGAAAAGAGACAGAACTTGCTGCAACTGGGTATACAAACTCACTGATGAAAAAGCCAAGCACACAGTTTCTGGTTAAAACCCCAAAAATGCACATGTTAAATCCAAAATGAGTAGCACACTCAGTGCTATGCTGTTCAGGAAAGACAAATTCATGAGTGCAAGAGTGTTTGGGAAAGCCTCTACGGAGGCACTCAGCATTGAGCCTTCAATAACAATCACTCCATTAAAAAGGGGGGTTTCAGGCATAGGATACGACAGTGGCAACATCTCAGAAAGGAAAGTGAGAAAAGAAGATGCTATGCAGTTGCCCCTCTTTGTAAAAATCAGCCATCTGGATCTTGCTGTATGGTTCATCGGTTCCCTCCAATGAGTCCTAAACAGAGAGGGACAAGGAGAGTGCATGAAACCTCACACAGTATAAATAACAGAGAGGGGTTGAGGTGCTCTGTTTGTGGACAGATATCCGTGGATGCCTTTAGGATTCTATTTAGCTGGGGAATCTGGTGGTTTCCCTCTGTTCCCTTGATCTTGTTATCTCATATAAATCTGTTAAAAGCATCTTCCCATATTTTAACTCACTTCTGACATCTAACCTTTGCACCAGATAATTGACATATTATGTTCAGTGTTTATGAAATTGTAAGGATCTTTTTAATTAAAGACTAAAAAGTGCTATAAAAATTGTGAGAAAAAAATTGGCCACATATACTAAGTTAACATGCATCAAGAAAAATTCATGGTATTCCTATTCCATCCTTTGGAAAATAGATAAAAGGTAGCTTTATCTCTATTTCTTGTTATTCTCATTGCCAGTTGGTGATGAGGTACACCTGAAACTTCACATTTTGCTCATTACAGCTCCCAGAGGATAATCCCTCACATTCTCAGAATGTTCTTACTGAAACGGGATCAGGCACTTCTCCTCGATCTATCTTTGGCTCCTATTTTGAATAGCTTCAAGATATAGACTAAATGCTTTTTTCTTCTATTTCATGTTTTGTCATTGAGATATTTACAAAACCAGAGTTCTTAATTAGTTTAATAATTTTATGTTCATATATGACTTACTTATATTTTTTAAAATAGTTTTTGTTCTTAGTAAAATCATGTCATATTTTGTTTTGAATGAATATTAAGACATAAAAGTAATGTGGTGGGAAAACAATAGAACATAATCAACTATTAAGCATACCACAATAAATAATGTGAACATAAAAGGACTACAGAAGTAATTTTATCTACAACAAGTCATAAGTATCAACTAGGGTAAAGCTATCTGCAGGAATGATGTAGTAAAAATATATCTGACAAATTATTGAATAAGCAGTGCATATGAACTCTACTCTAGAATTCTGTTATAACAATTTGAAAGGATTTTCAAAAACCATTATGTATAATATATAATGAAAGTGAAGGCTCCTAAGTTTGTTTTGAAAAGCTTCTTGTCATTTGCTTATTTCATCAGAAAAATCAGACAGCCATAAGATTTTCATAATGGGTTCCTTAATTGCACTTAATACGACTAACTATACACAGAAGACATATAACATCCATGTATTTATACCAAAAGTATCATGAAAACTGTAGTGTGCATTAAAATCATGCAGGGTCTACTTTTGTTTTGTAAAATTGTAGAAAAATTGTAAATAGCAAGGGTGACCTCCAGTGTGCAATAGGTTTATGCCATTGCATTTTTTTTCAGTAACAGAAACTTCATTGGCCTATTCCAATTCTCTAAGAGTATTAAAGATAAGGAGAAAGGGAATTTTCTAGATTAAAATGGGTTTGTCAGTTCAAAGCAATTGCTTTGTTTTGTTTTTGGATTTTTGTTTTTTGGGTTTTTTTTTTGTTGTTGTTGTTCTTTTTGAAGCTTATGGTATTGCTTGGAACCTTAAAACATAAAAGAGCAGGGGGACGAATCTGTGACTAATAAAAGTTAGAAAACTATATTTCTTATATATGGTCTTGTTCAAACCTACATTCATTAAAGCTTTGAAGAATAAGCTGAATTTATATTTTTAAAATGAAAATTCAAAAAGGACATTCTTTAAATGTCTCATACTGCCACGCAAATAGCAAAACTACCTGACATAATTTCTTTACAAAAATACTGACACTTACACCAAATAACAAACTAACACCACCAAAAAATCAAACTTAAAAAGCTTTTTAGAAAGTCTCTAAGATCAAAAGCTTTTCACTGTAGATAAAATTTCTTTTTATGAAAAGCTAATGGCTTGCCACATTGTATAATATAATTTCTATTTGTCTCTAATCTCAACACAATAAAACTATTCACACGAAAAGAAAAAGCATGATGCTCTCCTTACGAGCCAATCCAACATCACTCACTTCATCTTTCACTCTGCAGATAATACAAATCATCTAAAACTACCAGGGAGTTTTTATTTGCAGATTTTGTTTTTATTTCTTTACGTGGTAAATAACCTAAACTTTGGGGGAAATGAAGTTTCTTTTCAAAAGATTTTGTTAGTAAAACCTCAAGTTCTGCCTTAGCTAGCAAGACCACACAAAAGATCTAATTATATGGGTGCCCACCAGAGCTCCAGAGCTCCTGCCTGTCAGAGTCAGTGTCACTCTCTCCATTAGGCACATCTACTTTCAAAGGTCTATGCTGTGGACGTTAAAAATTCGCTCCAGGCTGACTCTTGGCATAAAAGGTATAAGGCTGAGAATGAATTGCTTTTTATGAATATTCATAACAATCAGTGTGGACTTCTCAAGTTCTTACACAGGGAAAAGTATAAATAACTGCATGTGATATAGTTTGTTTATCCAGTTTATAATATACATGGTGTGTGTGTGTGTGTGTGCATAAAATGTTTGTTACTAATAGCATATAATTAATGAATTAATTTAAAATTCACATTGGTGATAATATGTTCTAATTTTAATAAATTATAGCTTATGAAATTCCCAAGTATGAGATAATCTTAGAAACGAGTATTATTCCTTTGGACTTGTTATGATCTCTCATGTCAAGAGTCTGTGCGCTACCTGCTAAGAAATGCCTGAGCAGGCCCTGAAATGATGGACCCTAATGGCTCCAAAGGAGCCATTGTTGTCTATTGTGTCAATATTTTGCGTTCTAAAGATGATCCACAGAAGACTTCTTAAGCACGCTTTTGCATATCAGACAGCAATGATGACTCAATCTATTATGTCAATAATATGGTGTAAAAAAACTCATTCTCTTGAATTCACACAATTACAGTCATCGGCATGTTTTGTCAATGATCTGCTTAGAACATTCTTTGAGCACCCTCAGAAGATAGCATCTTTCAAATTTAACTATATCTTTTCATTCTAAAAATTTGTTTTTCAATGTTATTTTAAATGTGGCAAATTAATACCATAAAAAGGTTTAGAGCAAACATTAAATTCACCGGGTCAAATTATTCTCACAAACTCCTCCTAAATCAAATTAGATTCAAAGGGTCCCCCAAAACATTTTTGATAACTCTGTAAATAAAGAAAATATTCTTTACTTTCTTTCCTGAAGGACACGAATCAAAATTATCAACACAGCTTGTAGATACCACAGGGGCTCAACATTGAAAATACATAAGTATACATTACATTCTACATTTTCTAATCAAAGGAGGAAAAATTAAGGTCTGGTATCAGATTCTATGTTTATTTTCGAAGTTATATAATAAATATAAATTTTGGAACAAATGGCTTGTTAAAATGTATTAGGAGTCTACTTTGAGACATCAATCTTGGAATGTTCATTATATCTTTAAATACTGGTAATTATTAAGTGGTACTTAAGAACACAGAGGGTATCTGTAAAGCAATATGTGAGCAAGAAAAGGTGTGATAATGTATTGAGTTAGAGTCCAATCCAACTGCTTTCAGAGCTACATCTTAAGACTAGGGAGAAGAGAGTAACTTTTACGGCTCGATATGAATAAATTGACTTATCCTAGTTATTTGTTAAAAACCTGTACTGGCAAAATGCCAGCTATCTTCATGCACAAAGTTGAAGATCAAGAATTTTTTTTAAGTAGTGTCAAATGCCATACATTTAAAGCAGGAATTCTAATAAAATGTCTCCTTTTGTAATTTTATACAAATGGATTAAGTATCATCAAGAGTGGATACAGTGTTCTTTTTGTGTATTGATTTTTACGAAATACTTTCTCAGATGTGTCAGACATGCCTAGATTTTTGAATAAGGGAGGTTTCTTTTTTTTTTTTTGTATCTTGGCTCTGTTCTTATAAAGCAATGTTTTGGCAAAGTCGGCAAGTTCCTTAAATGAAGATTATTTTCCCCCCTCCTGGGTATCAGGAGACCATTTTAATTCACTCACCAGCTAAACTCTCAAAGGTACTGGTGTATATGGTAACATAGGAGCCAATATCCTAGCTATCAGTTTTCATACAGCCTAGCTGGACCTTTACCTTACGGCTGCCCCACATTTATTGTTCTTTCATTGCATCTGTCAGCATTTCCTGACAGCGCATTATGGAGCACATGGCTACAAAGTCAGTATCAATCAGTCCACGATCATGCAGATATAAGTAGCAGACTATTGATAATGGGCCTTAAATCAGATCATCATGGTTTAAACATAAGATTCTTAAAAGGCAGCTATCTCAGGGGAACTTCTACTTGCCTGCACCTGTTATAAACCCTGCAAGACAGTTTCTACTACCTACCACCTTCAACTTCTCTGAAGAAAAAAGAAGGATCTATTAAACACACATACACATATGCTGTAACACATTTCACCATGTACAATGAAGCATGAAAGCAAAGGTGGCAATTAATATAACTTTTTGCTCTATTCCTTCAAAAAATGTGCAGAAGCAATATATCTCTCTCCTAACACTAATGAACCCAGACTACCAAGCCCCACATACACCTCACATGGATAACAGCAGTTTTGTTGTGCTTTGGAAATGTCTTACTTCAAAAGCATTTCAACTTGATGTGGCCATTTAACAAGAAAAGTGAGAGAATGCATGGAGTTTAGAGGTATGCTGCACCAAACTCAAGGCACCATGTTAAAAACAAAGGCATCTAATTTTTCCCAGACATAAATAATAAAACAAAACAGGAGTTGCATGCAAATTTAGTAACATAAAATTTAAGGTGATAAACAGAATGGAAGCTGGCTTCTTGTTTAGTATTCCTCAGTTATCACCATAATTGCTGCATGTCTGTCATCACTAGCAAAAGAAAAAAGTGTCTTTCTCAGCTGCTCCCCTGCTTGTTTTGTTCGCTGTATTCTTGTAAAGTGGGAGAAAATAAGTGTCATTTAATGAATAGTGCTATTCTTTGTCTGACAGCTTCATATCTGTTAGGTGTAGGAGGCCTACTACTTTCTTTTTCTGATAATGTTTTTGACAGTGTGCTAAATTCCTCCCCCAAAAGGCCGGCGTGTATATTCTGCTAAAAGGGGCTTCATCTCTCCTGAATGGGTGCCCTCTTTTAACCCCCTTCAGCTTCTGTTCTTACATTAATTGAGCTGATCAGATTGAGCATATGAATTTGTCTTTGATGTATTCGTATGTTTAGTTGACGTTGCTCTCTCTCTCATTGGCAGCGGACAGAGCTCTCAGACAAATAGGACTGTTGCCATGGTAACAGGCAATAGCTAGGGATCTCTTGAAAAATATTTTTATTTCAAAATTCAAACTGGAAAATTCTCACTGGATATGGTTCTCAGTTCTAAACGTGTCATATCTAATGATGAATGCAATTAGGAATCCCACCAGTGTTTTAAATAATAAATTAGCCTAATTTTCTAGGCCTGGCATGATGACATACAAATACTAAAAAGGCGTCTTCTTTTTTAAAATCCATGACAAAGGACTTATTAATGACTTTTGTTCTTAGGATTTCAAATTAAAATGGATGGTAGGCTAATGATAGCGCTTTCTATCTGCTGAAAATCAGAGGCCTAGAGGTAAACTTATTATTTTTTTTAAGAAACCACTTCAAGCTGCTGTAATATTTGGTTATTTCATTTTTTAAAAAGCGGGTGTAGAAATCCTTCTATAAATGTTGAATGCTATAGCAGTTGGTAAATCTCAGTGGATAAAAAATGCCCATAGCCATTTTTAATTACTGAGCATGAGAAAAAGGGATGGATGGTGAGCCTAAGTTTTATAGTCCACTATCATCTTACAATAGCTTTCAAATTCTTAGTATGTTAGTCGAAATACAAGGAAAAAATAAAAATAAGTACTTCATTATGTGACATAAATTGTAGTTATTTTTAAAACTTAATTTATTCATGACTATACAATTCCAGTTATATTAATTATTATTTCCCCCAGTCATACCATGTGGGGCTTAGAGAACAATGAAAATTACTGTACAGTTTGATAGCTTCAAGGATCTGCCATAATGTGTAATCGCATTACAAAGAGGGCTACTAGAAACAAACCAAATTTTTCTATTCCTTAAACTTTGTTTTTAGCATTGTTCAGCTCTTTGTATCTGTTGTTCACGGTGTTATGTGTCAGAATGCAGAACTTAACTTTTTGATATTAACTGGCAAGGGTGCTACTTCCTTTAATTTTGAGTTAAGCCAGTCACAATAATAAAATCAAGCAAATCCATGTGTATTTTGGGTTTGTTTGAAGGAAATGGATCTTACTCAAATTTTAGAATGTCAGCATACAAAATAATGAACAACGAGGTTAAATTAAATCCAAATGGTAATGAGTGTCTGTAGTACACGCCATCTCGTGTTATATATGGCTTTTACATTTATATATTTTTAAAAAGTTTGTGTTTAAAGCAAAAAGATAGAAAAAAAGTTAAACCTAAGACATTAGTAGTTATGAATTTCTATACTTTTACTATTACTTTAAATAAAAATTTTATTACTATGGCCTAAATAAAATATGAGTATTAAAAGTTTTATTCTATATTATACTACTAAACCACCTGAAATATTACTTTTTTCCTCAAAAACTGAAGTATAATATTTTCTATAATACCAAAAAAAAAAACCTTATATGAAACACTGCAGGGGACTAGCAAAGAACATCTTAGCTTCTACTGGTAAGTGAACATGTCTCCCTTTAACTATATTTCCAATCTACTTCATCAAAAATCCACAGTGAAGACAGTAAATCCAAATCTACTTCAGAGTTCACATTGATGGCTGTGGCCTCCTAAAGCTCTCTGGAAGGTGAGGACATACCTAGGAGGTCCAGGCAGGAACCTCACCCCATCTGGCTGTCCTGAGAGTCATATATTAATAGAAACAGTCCACTCTGAATCAGGAGGATGTATCTTCCTCCGTCAGGCTTTAGTTGTTCATCTGAGTTGGGGCAGTATGCTTTTGCATCCTTTCAGAGTGATTAAATGCAATTTTTAAAAGTTTATTTTATTGTTTTTTTAATTACAAAGGTAATTCATACTTACGCACAAAAACCAAAAAATATTGAAAGTGTCCCTTTATCTCCAAAGCTAACCACCCTGTATTAAAAGAACCACCAGCAATTGGTTATACATCCTTTCAGACCTCTAATCAAAACCATTTTTGAAAGTACAGGATTTCATTTACCTTCCACTTTATGACTCCTGATGACAAGTGATATGAGAAAGAGGGAAAGGAAAGCAGGAGTGTCTTTGTTTCTTTTTCCTATGCCTAAACTAGATAGTAAGATATGAGAAAGAACACTCACGTTTCACTTCTCACTTATCAATAGTCACAACCCTCAAGTGGGAAGGGAGTGTGAATCCAGGTGGTTTCCTTCCCACCACTGTAAAAATCATCTAAGTGCCTAGAAGTCACAACCCTCAATATATTCCTGGTCTTCCAAGGTCTGAGCCATTTCCCTGATGGAAATAACTATCCATAAGTGATGTTACATACGACTCACCAGAGTACCATATTACCATGCTGAGTTGGGAAAAGAAAGCCCTGCCTTTCAGTGTTTAAAATATTTTGAAAATACAAAGCATGAAGATGCCAGTTTCTTTTCTTGCTCAGCACTGCACAGATCTACTCCAAACACAGAGAGTCTCATTGACTTTGGCGCTGAAGGCTTAAATCAGCTCCATAAGTGTCCAGCAAGCCAAAATGAAAGCTAAACACACATTGTTACTGAAGCCTATGCTGCATTGCACAACTCCAGGGCTATAACTTAAAGACAATTTACCTCAGAAAATATAAGGCAGCACAGGGCAGTGGCAAGAGACTTAGATTTGGAATCAGAATGACAGGGTCAAACATTTCTCACTAGCACCCAGACCTTAAGTGACCTCCCTGAGTCATAACGTCTTAATCTATGAAACAGGGATCATAATATCAGCCCTCGTCCTACAGTTATTGTGCAGTGAAAATGAGATAAATACGAATGTGCTTTAAAATATATGTAGATTGCATTTAAACCTTATATTGTCTATATTTTTTAAATGAAAATCAAACCTATTGATTTTATAAATTACATTTTCCATAAAAATCTTCAAATTTATATGAATCAAGTGTGGATAACTAATTTAATCTTACAATGCCTCATGTTAAAATATGAAACATTAATTTTTAAAAACATTACTTTTTTATAAAAATGGTTTGCTTTTTATAAAATATTTAACTTAAAAAAACAAATGCCCAATTCTTATATACCATTTTTTTCTGCAGTGGAATATGCTTTTAAATTCATTAATTTAGAAAGTAAAAAGATTAGAGAGAGAATTAGTCAAAGGCAAAAATTAAAGTTCTATAATTCAAAAAGTTAAAATTAATAAAACAATTTAAAAGCAATATAGAATAGTTTATTTCAGTGTAAAATGTCTAGTTTGCACATTTCCGAAAATTTAAATATAGACTCATTAGTAGTTAGTCTATTATAGATTATATATAAGCATTTATAGGTATATGTATGCACATTATATGATAGATATAAAATTAGGCAAGATGGCTATAAATACACAAAACCATTCTTCAATTGTAGTGGATTATTTTCTGAAATTTTATTAGTAAACTGATTATAAGAAATTGAAATACATTTTCTCATACAAATAATATTAATACGATGAAGTAGGATAAGGCTACTTTAGAAAAAAGCCATCTGACTCGTAATTTACTGTAGAAATTAGTAGCCATATATGGAAAATAATTTCCTGTAGAAAATGCACATCTGTCCTTGCTAAAGCCAGACTGGTTCCACCAATTATTGGAGACTAGGAAAGGGGAGGTGGTACAATGGTCTGAGCTCTGAGAGCACAGAGAACAGATGCAAATTTATTTCCTTTTACAGGAAAGAAACAGACTCAACAGATCAGGAAGAGTAAAGGCTAATACTAAATTTGCTATTTTCTGCTACATAGTAAAAGGTCAATAATTATTAGCCAACATAACGTTACATAGAAGAACTAAGCAGGCTGGGATCTGCAGGAAGTTGGAAGAAGTTGAGGAAGTAGGACAGGACCAGGAACGTTGGCATTGTGGCAGCAGCAACAGATAGGAAAAGAGGAGAGCCTGAAGACGGATTTTTTTCTTCATAATACTACCCCTCCTTGTCCCCACAAAGCTTGTCCTGGGTCAGCCCTAAACTAACACCAGGGCAAAGTGAGAAGCACCATGAGAAACCAGTGGGTAAGGAAGATATATTTCTGTAGATGATAGCACCAGGCTTGATATTGATGAGAGATAAAGGGAAAGGAAATAAGTCCAAGTGTGGTGACTGACAAGGATAGGGATGTCTGAAGCCAGGGGCTGGCTGTAAACATTTGTGTTTGAAGTGACAAGTGACTCAAAGGAGACAAATAGTGTCCCTTGATCACTCCCTCTCTCCCTGAGAGCCTCACTTGGCTCTCAGAACACCATATTCTGCTAGTTTTTCTCCTACTCCAGTGACCATTCTCAGTCTCCTAACTGGATCCTCCTCCTTCCAACTTCTAAATGTTGGAGTGCCCTAGGCCCCCAGATCTCAATCCAAGATGATTTTAGTCAAGTCCATCATGGCTTATAAATACCATCTGTATGCTGATTACAGCCCACTAATTCCAACCTCAATCTCTCCTGAGTCCCATATTACTATGTCCATCTCCTACTCTTCCTAGATGTCTTAAAGCCCTATCAAACGTAGTATCTCCAAAAGAGAATTCTTGATTTTTCCCCAAAACTTGATTCTCTCCCAGGTTTCCTCATCTCAATAATCATATGCTCATTCATATAGTTGCTCAGGCCTGGGAGACATCCTTGATTTGTTTCTTTCATATCTCACAATCTATCAGCAATCTTTTGAGTTCTATTTTTCATATTGTTTAACTCAGGATCTTCAAAATAGATGCCAAAGTCCAATTACTTTTTACTATCCCCATCAACCTAATTCCAACTTTTCTATTTCCACTCTTTCTACCTTTAGAGTCTATGCTTCTTATAGCAGTCAGACAGTATTTTTAAAGTATAAGTCAGATTGCATTCCTTCAACTCCAACACCTTCCAAAGACTTGCTATCATACAAAATCAGCCTACCATTCAATCTAGTCTCTGGTTACCTCTCTGACCTCCTCTCCTTTGTCTCTCCCCCTACTCATTTAGCTCCAGTCCTAAGGGTCTTCTTGTTCTTCCTGGACTATGTGAAGCTTGTTTCTGTCTCTGAACAGAATAGCATATGCTGTTCCCTATGCATGATGTGCTTGTCCCCAGAAATTTCCATGGCTTGATCCCTTGGATCACACAAATATTTTCTTACAGATGTCTTCCCTGGTTTTCCCACTTTCAAAAGCACCTACCCTATATCTGTATGGGCTTTACTTCATAGCTTTTATTACTACCTGACATTATGTTACTTTTTATTGATACATAATATTTGTACATATTTATGGGGTACATGTGATATTTTGTTACATGCATAGAATATGTAATGATCAAGTTAGGATGTTTAGGGTATCCATTACCTCTTGTATTTATCATTGCTATGTGTTAGGAACATTTCAAGTCCTCTCTTCTAGCTATTTTGAAACATATGATACATTGTTATTAACTATTGTCACCCTACTCTACCTTCGAACACTAGAACTTAAATACTAAGTGTATGTTTGTACCCATTGACCAACCTGTCTTCATCCACCCCCCTCACCACCACCCCACACCCCTGCACTTCCCACACCCTTCCCAGCTTCTGGTATGTTATTCTACTCTACGCCTCCTTGACATCAACATTATGTTACATATTTATTCACTGGTTTATTGTCTGCTCTCCATAGAATGTAAACTTCATGAAAGTAAGGATTTTATCCAACTTGCTGTCTATCTACCCCTCTACAGCCTAAAATGGTTGTGATCCAAACTAGGTACTCAGTGTATGTATGTTAATTGCTCATTCAGACACTCCAAATCTTTCATGATTTACAATAGAAAAATATTGGTTACTCATATTGACACACATAAATCATGTTTTACAAAAGAAAAATGTTATGTTACATGGACTTTAATCCTTCTTTCAGAATATACTTTGCACAATTTTTTTGGAATAATTTTCTCAACCAGCCTGATTCTTCAAAAGCAGTTAAGACTTTTAAAAGTAAGTACTTTCTAGAATTATGCTACAGGAGAAGGGAAAATGAAAAGGCTGACAAATTCTTTACTCTTATATTTTTAAAATGTGTTCTGAGATTTAAGAAGTAGTTATGTAACTTTTCCTAGTGAGATTTTGTTAAATATTTTACTATTTGACAGTTTGTGTCACAGTTTTTCACGCTGTATCTGGAGTTATGAATGAAACTATAAATGGCCTACTACTATGATCTAAAGTAAAAATGCCAAGGGTAAGGAGTTCATTTATTTTAATGGGTTAAATACCCCAAGGTCATTGGCTACCTTTTGCACAAATACTAAAGCCCTTTGAGAGCTACAAAATTGAGTATTTGATTTTATTTACTTGTCATGTACTCAAAGTGAGTAGCTAACAATAAAATTATCTTTAAATATATAAATACCACTACTAAAATAACTGATATCTATAAAGTGATTACTTTGGGCCAGCTATTATTTGAAGTTTTTTATTTGATAAACCATCTAATCCTTGAAACAACCTTACAAAGTAACTCCATTTTACATATAAGAAAAGTGAGGCACTGAAAGGTAGGCTGTTCAAAATCACACAGCTAGAAGATGGTAGAGCTGAGATATGAGTCTAAGTAAAGCATGTAAACTTAACCACTGTGAAATTATATCATTTGCAGCTTGTTCCATGATTCTGCTAGCAAAATGTACATTAGTTAGTAAAACACAGTTTTCATATGCAACAGATTATCATTGATGGGAAGTTTTTCCTCATACTGTACATTGAGGGCAGCAAATCACCCTTTTGTTCTGAAAATGTTGGTCATGGTAAACAGTTTATTAACACATTGCACATCTTCTAGTTTTCTTCCATTCTTTAAAGGTACATTGGTTAAAATCATATTTAACAGAAAATACATTTTAATTAGTGATACTGAAGGTATAGAATTCCTAGAAGAGCAAGACTTTATCATAGAAAATTAAATTACAAATTATTGTGACATAAAATTTTATTTTAAATGTATTCCCTACTCTGAATTCCAAACAAAAGGCATCATACTTTATAAACATTATCTTAAATTGGTTTTTACACAACTTTAATACATTAAAGGCCACACAAAAATTTCAAGAGGCAAGTTAATGATGAATCATGTGTTTTTAGGGTCCTTAAAACTAAATGTTTGTTAGCATTTTATCTGATAGCCAACAACTTTTTGAGGTCATTCTCATTGTAAAGTAGAAACCAAAGAAATTAAAAAATTATTTGGACTTTAAAACTCTTTTTAGCACAGAATAATACAGATGTACTAAGCCACATTAGGCATTGATTTCTTATCCATATACTTTTTAGCAGCTTAAATTTCTGTGCCATGGATATGTTTGTCTTTTTAGGTAAATAACCTAAAAATCAGGGTTTTTTAGGTAAATAACCTAAAAAGACAAATAAATAATAGTTTGCAATAGGGCAAAGGGTCCCCAGACTAAATCAAGGTTACTCATACGTAATCTAACTGCCAAATAGGGCCAACATCCGTTAAACATATAAGCTAATACTTTTTAAAATCACTATAAACATCCTATATGTTAGATTGTTCAACACTCTGCATTCTACAGGCATGCCTTGCACTCCAGCTGTAGCAGTAAAATTACTGAAACTGTAATTCTCTTAATATTTAAATAATATATTAAAATTTAATTTTCAGCACCTGGAAGAATCTGTTTGTGTGCCAGCAAATGAGGTAGCTGGGCCTGGAGCTCCTATACATATGGGACTCAAAAACAACCTATCACAAATAATTACTAAGCTAGAGCAGCTGTAGTCACCACTGTAATAATTTAAAAATCAGGTCAAAGTTGCTAGAATTCTTTTCCATTTTCAAGATACCTTGCACATAAATTCTGTGATGCTTATCCTTTTCTATTTTCCATATTTTATAAATTATTCATTTTTATTGATAATCATAGATTGAGGTGGAAAGGACAGCAAGGGCATTCTGTGAACTTTTTTTTTTTTAAGTTGGTGATGTTAAAAGAAATTAAGCTCCTGATTTCTTGGGTTTTTTAAATGGCTTACGTGAATGTGCCAATGCAAAGGCATATGTATTTGTTACATCTGTTTATGGTAGGGATTACATACTCTGTGAATAAACAAAACTAAGGCCTATTTACTGCTCGATGGATATGGCTTTCGAACACACGTTGTGTGCGTATAATATATGAGTCTAAATAGAGATACACTCACACACATCATTAACAAAATACTCTTTAATGTATCCTCTATGTATTTTTATTTTGTCAAATCATGATGCCATCTGGTTCATGTACAAAAGAAAAATACAAAAATTATAAGTTTTTCATTTATTAAATTTGAACAAATTGCTGAGGGATGAGGCTAGTGAAGATTCAAAAACATTTTGTATATTTTCACATCTATGAAAATAAAACATTTTGAAAGGATGTCTGATACAGAGACAATTCCTAAGTTCACAACCCTATCTGGAACTGGTTACGTGTTATGTCTCTCCAATCTCTCAGCATTCCTTATCTACTTACTGAGAAACAAAAATTCAAGAGAGCAACGGACATTTGGGATTTTTTTTTCATCACTTTAGTGAGATTTACATGCTTTTCCCAAAAGCTCCAGACCAAAAAAAAAAAAAAATTAATTTGAAAAGTGTATTCAGTAAAAGAATGGCAATGGCAAGACACTCCGTTTAAACAGAAACTTTAATTGCTTTGAGTTAATTTTAGATTTCCAATCCGATTCTTGTATATGAAAAAACATCTAAATATCTGTTTTTAGAAAGTGTCTAATGGCATCCTACACCTGATATTTAGAAAGAAAATAAGATATTTTGTTGGAGGGAAAGATGGAGATTAGGGGATAGGGAAAAAAATGTACCAAGAATTTATACCCTATTACCTTCAATCATTTTGATGCAAGTCATTCATACCACCACCATGCTAACAAGACATCCAATTTACTAAACAATGAATACTGAAAATACATTTAAAAGGTACAAATGACTGTCCAAAGAATGACACTGAAAAATATTAAGTAACAGCTCTACCTCAAGATAAGCCTCACCATTAAAGAGTTTTAATGAAGAGAGCCTTCAAAGGCTAAATCAGGAGGCATTGATTAGATTGCCTCCAACTTTGTGTTTTGACACCTTCGTCTTTCGTGGCATTATATTGTCTCTGTGCATCTTACAAAGGAAGCATTTTACTAGGCCCACACAAGAACAGGAGACAGCAATGCTTATAAAAGAGACTGTCAAGGGTGTGAGCCAAAATGGGTCTCATTTGGATTTCAAGTGAAGAAAACTCCTAATGCATTTCATTACAATGTATGCGAACCTCTGAAAAGAAGGATGGATTGGGATTCTCATCCCTATTAATTTATTGAAATGGATTCAGTTTTTTCTTGTATATCAAGAGAGACCATGTGTTTTAAGCAAGGTAACAATATTATAGTTCCAATAACCAAATATGCTATGATTCCGTATGCCCTTCTGTGAGATAAAGAGGATGCAATTTTCTTGATAATTGGGATTTGAGTTTAAAAATAAATCCTACAATAGCATGGCAACAAATAAATATTCTTTGTTACTACCAGTTTTAAAGATATGATCAAGCTGCTACACAACAGAGGAATTGATTCAGTCTTTGTTACCACAGCAGATTTTTTTACCATTTTAAATCCTGTTTTCCCCTTACTACAGTCATTCATATATTGACTTTTTATTTCATTGAGAAATTATGTACATGATGTAATCAGGATAACACCAATGAAAGTCAAATTTTTTAAAAGATAATGAAAAGAAAATGAGACAAGGTCACAGCATTTTAAGCACCATATTATAGTCTACCTATATACCTTTATTCATAAGAATCTTCTAGTAAAAGGCATCTATTAGGTAATTCATCATTTAAAAAGGGTACCTATTAGGTAATTTCTGGTTTAAAAAGAAAGCACTTATATTTGGCCGATTCTCCAAATTCATTAAAATGATACCTGCCACTAAAAAAAATTCTGAACCCTAACTACAGAGAAATGCCATGATCTAATGCTCTTAGACATCCCAAATAATTTCATAAATCCACAGGATTACAAATATAAGACATATGCTCTCATTGCTCTTTAACACCATTAACATTTAGAGATGATTGATTATGTTATATGAAAACATTCAGTGAATTCAAAGCTGATCTATTTTTTATGTAAATCATACAACCTGCTAGTCAAATTAAAGGTTAAATATACATAAAGTCTTAGAATAAAATACAGATAATCTTTCACATAGAACATGGACCTATGGTATACTCAAATGTAATAGGACCATGGATTCATACATTGCCTACTAATTAAATCCAGAAAAACAGCAGGAGTATGCCCTCCTTATGTTATTATACATTTAATTCCAAGTGGGAATAATATAGCCACAGCTAAGTAGAATTTAAAATTATGGCTAGAAAACACAATTGAAAATAAATGTACATTTGCAAACTTGAAAAGAACTCTCTATAAAGAAATTCATATTCATCATTTAAATTTTCCCATGGATGTGACTATAAAATAGATGCAGAAATAATACACATAAATCAAATATTCAGCATGTGCACATACATGTTGATGTATGTATCAACACATACATTCCTTAAGCAATAGAAAATATATAAAAATTCTAACAGCAAATCTCAATTAACTTTAGTATATGATTACTTTTATAAGAAAGTTTATACAGTTCCCTGTAATACATACAATAGAGGAATTTTTGATGAATTGTAATTAAATTAGAATGATGCATGCTTCTTATTTTTATCTTGACAGTTCTTGCATTCTCAAGCAGAGAATTACATACAGATATACAGCAGGTTACTTGTTGAATAATGTATTTCAAGTACTTAAAATTACGGAGGGAGTTGCTGAAGATCTACATGTGAATACATATTTTGGCCCTAATTTTCATTACTGCATTTCTTCAACTGAAGGTATTTTATAATATACTTACAAAGCAGTTAATATCAGAGTTTTTTTTCAGAACATAACAAAGGTAATAATACTACCTTTATGGTATAAACTTTATGACATTATGAATAAAAATGACAAGTATAAAATTTGATCCATAAAATAAGTGATATATTAATTCACCTTTTTAAAGATATTATGTGTTGCTCCATTTTTTTGACAAGGCTTCCATTCATACTAGAGACATGTTGAAAAACACTATATTTTCTCTCAATAAGGAAAATCACTTTACCCACTATCATGCTTGTTCTGTCTCAATAAAAAATCAATCATCAAATGCTTGCTTCCAAGTTTTACTTGTTAAACTGCCAATTTATGCATACAGTTTGGCTCGGCAGAAATTCACTCAGCAGCATTTCTTTCATTATTATAATTTTGTACATCTCATAAAATGCTTTAAACTTAGGAGGTAGGGGGAGTTACGAAAGTTTATAAGTGCTTCTACGAAGCATTTAATGTGATAGCTAAAGTATAGTGGTAAGATGTAGTTCCAAACCATCATTTTTAAAGAAAAAGAAAAACTATATCGTTTCTGTGGTTTTTCAAAGTAATAAAGGCCTGATTGATCTCACTGACTAAGGCAATTGAATCGGTTGTCTAAATGGTAGTAACATCAATGTCAGATATGTGGTTATCTTTTCATCTTGGCCCATTCTTGAATGTAAAAATCAGATGTTTGAAGGACATTTCACTGACCTGTTATGGCCTCTGTAACTCTCAGACACAATACTGGTATTCCTTATGTAAGTGCCACATTTTGGATAAAACCCGCTTCATCAATGATGCCTTTGCGACATCTGGCGGTCCTTAGGATATAAAAATTACTTTTTGTTTTTCCAAATCTATCGGTACTTGAAATTCCAGTCCAAAAGGCTTTGATACCCCCTAGCGGGGGCACAAAAGCACTCTGGCCTGTAAACTAGGATGTGGACTACCATGAATCCATATGGTGCAAAAGGTCACAAATCTTGAGATGTGGTGACATCATGACAATAAGACACTTTCTAGACAGAAGCTGACCCATTTTGAATATAAAAAGGACCCTGATCACATGTTCCCACACATTTAAAACTATAGAGAAAAAAGAATTATGCTAAGTGGTCTATATAGAAGCTGAACGCTGGTGTTTGAGGGTACCTATAGTTCTCACACTTAAGGAATACTACATGGGGATTTACAGCAAGATTGCTTTAAATGATCTAAGAGCTCTGATTTTTTATGTTATAAGTTGATGCTCAGCAAATGTTAATAAGGGGTGAGAGGTGGCTGAATGGCAGGGTGCATGTTTCTATGTACTCTTCAGTTCCTTTTTAAATTATTAATCCAGCCATACTGAAGCTTGTTCTACATGCTTCCACCTTTATTTACATTTCCAGGAAAGCATAGAACATGAATACTACTTTATGAAGAAAAAAAAAAAACTGTCCTTTAGATTTTATTCTTATTCTATAGGCAATTCAGTATGAGGAAGGGGAAATAAAAACTCATTTCTATCTCTTCATCACCGTCTCTACAGGTATATTTGTTATCCACAATGAGAAATCGTGACTTTGCTGATTTTTTTGTTCAGTCCAAGAAAATTACATGTGCTATACAGTTATCTCTCATTTATACCAAGTCCCGGTAAAGTGGCACACTTGACAACAATAAAATCAAATTCAAATGTACTGTGTTGGTTCCCTGTTTTCAACCTTCTTTTCAAATATTTGCCTGAAAACCTATATTATTTTGGGTATAAACTAATACTTTCAAGAGGGTTTTTGGAGTAAAGAACTCATGTTTTTGGCTGGGTGCGGTGGCTCATGCCTGTAATCCCAACACTTTGGGAGGCTGAGGTGGGCAGATCATGAGGTCAAGAGATCAAGACCATCCTGGCCAACAAGGTGAAACCCCGTCTCTACTAAGAATACAAAAATTAGCTGGGCGTGGTGGTGCGGGCCTGTAGTCCCAGCTACTCAGGAGGCTGAGGCAGGAGAATTGCTTGAACCTGGGAGGCAGGGGTTGCAGTGAGCCAAGACTGCACCACTGCACTCCAGCCTGGTGACAGAGCTAGACTCCGTCTCAAAAAAAAAGAACTCATGTTTTCTAAATCTTACTTTTATAATCAATATTTAATATGTATGTCATCTCTGATTTTTTTCAAGTCATCAATAGTTTATAGGCAGTCATTGTAATAGATAATAGAGTCACCTCTTCTGACACAGTAACAAAATTTGTTGTATTAAGCATATATTACTGCACTGCATTTAAAGGCATTTTTATGTTTCATAATTGAATCAATTTATTATCATATATACAGAACATAAAAATTAATCTTGCAGAAATGGTTACTAATTTATGTGTAATTATAAAAATGTTATGTAAGAAAGTTCTTAGGTGTCTTCCATTAGTTACATACTGCTCTTATGGTGGCAATAAATTCCTTTGATAGTATTTATAGGCTAAAATTGTAAATATAGATCTTTTAAAATGATTCCATTTTCTCACCTTTAACAATACAGGATCTTATAGAACAATAAAGTGAATAGAGATTGATATTGCATTCTCTTGTCACTGTTTAAAAGGAGATTGATTAAATGAGAACATAGCGTGATATAAAAAAATCAGCATGTACTACTTTTAAAAAGAAATAACAGGAATAAAGTCATATGATCAATTTTTACTATATTATTTACTAATGTTTTGAACTACAATAGATCGATAATAAAATACCCATTATAATAAGATATACTGAGGAAAATAATGGCATTTAGTCAAATACCATTCTCCTTTGCTTGAAATGCACTTTGTATAATAAATGTTACAATGAGAGCTAGAAAAAAAAAACTGCAGATGTTCCTTTGCAATAATTACAAGACTTAAATCTTTTCAAATGTTAAAGGAATAATTTTGATGAAGAATAATAACAAATATAAGTCCTCCTGTTTAAAATTAGTTATTAAACTAAAAGTATGTTTCAAATATGACTACACATGTAGATATAAAGAAATAAAGTCACATTTCTAAAGTAAATTTTATTGTTTTGTTAGGTGTGTCTTTTAGAAACAGATTTCTAGGTGGTTATGGGGAAATACTATGCAACTTCCTGAGACCACACCAAGAATTGTCAAAATATATCTTATCCTCAACTCTAAACCCAAAGAAATGGAAATTTTGCCACATTACCTCAGTATTTATTAAAGTTATTTTGTTTTCTGAAGGTCATGTTGGGAGCAACAAAAAGAAGCACAGACATAGAAGGTTTTTTTTAATTGAGAAAATAAGATAGAAACAAACTAAAGATAAAAGATATAAGATATGGAAAGCACTGAAAGCGATCCAACATAAGCATAATTGGTGTCCCTAAAGAAAAGAACTGAGCAAATGAAATGGGAAAAATATCCAAAGACATAATTTAAGAAAACTTTCCAGAAAAAATGTGAGACTTGAATATACAGATTGAAAGGACATAGCATTTCCTTGGGAAAATTAACACAGAATGATAAAAGCAAAACCTATGCTGGTGAGATAACTGATCTTCAAAGTAGAAATAATTCTTTGGCCTTTCTGGTAAAAATATCAAGTTATATATGTATATGAATGTAGTATATTTTGAAATGTAGAGTTCTGGTTTGGGAGAAAATGGAGTAAGTCTACTGTAGTTGATTTCTCACATTGATAGAACTAAGAACACTAGACAAAATAAAAAACAAAACAAAATTACTTAAGGACTGTGAAAAGTAAATAATACGCAAATTAGGAAGGGAAATCAAGACGTGAATAAAGACTCACCTGGTGGCAGTGAGTTCCTTAATTTTTTCCCTCCCCCCCTTTTTTTATTTTGCCCTACAGTATGTTGAATCAGAAACTCTATAGCAGGTATATTATCTTACATAAAATAAGCCAGCACACAAAGACAAATATCCTATGTTCTCACTTATATGTGGGAGCTAAAAAATTTGATCACACAGAGGTAAAGAGTAGAAAGATAGATAACAGATACTGGGTGAGTTCTGCAGACAGAGTAAGATGAAGAGACCCTGTTTAAAGGGTACAAACATACAGTAAGATGGAATAAATTTAATGTTTGATAGCAAAGTAGGGTGACTATACTCAACAAAAATGTAGTGTATTTGGGTGATGGACACCCTCAGTATCCTGATTTGATCACCATGCATCTATATATGTAACAAAATTTCTCCTACCCAATAAAGCACAATGTGGTAGTACTAAAAGGTGAAATGGACATAGAATAATGAAAGACACAAAACCAGCAAGGACATAGAAGAGGTGAAAAATATTAACCAACATGACCTAACTCATATTTATAGAACAGGTCTCCCAGTGATAGCAGAAAACATTCATTTCAAGTGCACATATAACATAGACCATATTCTGGGCCGTATAACAAAATGTAACATATTTAGTTGAGCTGAAATCATACAAAATATGTAACCTGATCAAAACGGAATTGAAGTAGAAATCAATAACAAGGATATCTGGAAAATTGTCACAATGTACTCAAATATTAAAAATGTAAATAACCCATGGCTCACAAAGGAAGTCTCAAGGGCAGTTAAAAATATTTTTAGTTAAATAAAAATGAAAAACAACATATCAAAATTTGTGAGATGCCATTAAAGCAGTGCAGGGAAATTTATAACATTAAATGCTTGAAGTTGAAAAGAGAAAAGATCTCAAACCAATCATCTAAGATTATGATATAAGAAATTAGAAAAAAGCACAGCAAAATAAATAATGAAAAGAATAGAAACCAATAAAACTAAAAACAAAATAGAGAAAAATCAATGAAATCAAAAGTCAGTTCTTTAAAAGGGTTGCTTAAATTGATCAACCTTTTCAGACTTTCTTCCCTTCCCCTCAAAAGAGAGAGAGAAGACACAACTTACTACTATCAGAAATGAAATGAGGGGCCAAGCACTGTAGGTCACACCTGTAATCCCAGCACTTTGGGAGGCTGAGGCAGACAAATCACCTGAGCTCAGGAGTTCAAGAACACCCTGGCCAACATTGTGAAACCCCATCTCTACTAGAAATACAAAAATAATTAGCCAGACGTGGTGGTGGGCTCCTGTAATCCTAGCTACTCAGGATGGTGAGGCAGGAGAATCGCTGGAACCTGGGAGGCAGAAGTTGCAGTCCAAGATCATGCCACTGCATTCCAGTCTGGGCAAAAGAGTGAGACTCTGTCTCAAAAAAAAAAAGAAAGAAAGAGAGAGAGAGAGAAAGAAAGAAGAAGAGAAGAAAGGAAGGAAGGAAGGAAAGAGAAAGAAAGAAAAGAAAGAAAACAAGGAAAAGGAGGGATATCACTATAGACTCTAGAAGCATTAAAGGGATAATAAAGGACTACTCCTTTTCATGAAGAACTCTGTGCACATCAATTTGACCATTAAGATGAAATGAACCAATTCCTCGAAACAACTCATTCAAGAAGTAATAGATAACAAGAATAGGTATATAGCTCTCAGAGAAAATTAATTCATAGTTTAAAATCTTCCAGAAAGAAAACTTTAGTCCCAAATGGTTTCACTGGTAAATTATTCCAAGCGTCTAAGTAGAAATAATGCCATTTCTATGTAATCTCTTCCTGGAAATTAACGAAGAAACAATTTACTCTGCAAACCCTGCTTTGCCTGAGTATTAAAACCAGACGAAGACATTATAAGAAAGCTACATGCAGGTATCTTTCATGAACATCAACAGAAAAATCCTCAACAAAATATTAACAAACAAATCAAGTGGAGCTTATCCCAGGAATACAAGTATAGTTCAACTTTGAAAATCAATTAATATAACTCATTATATTAACAAGTGAAAAAAAGAAAAACTGCAAGATCCTATCAATTGATGCAGAAAAACAACTTGACAAAATTCAACATCAATTCATTAAAAACAATAAACACACACAGAAAATCAGAAACATGGCTGGGCATGGTGGCTCACACCTGTAATCCCAGCACTTTGGGAGGCTGAGGTGGGTGGACCTTAGGTGGGTGGATCACCTGAGGTCAGGAGTTCGAGACCAGCCTGGCCAACATGGTGAAACCCCATCTCTACTAAAAATACAAAAATTACCCAGGCACAGGGGTGTGTGCCTATAATCCCAGCTACTTGGGAGGCTGAGGCAAGAGAATCACTTGAACCTGGAGGCAGAGTTTGCAGTGAGCCAAGATTATGCCACTGCACTCCAGCCTGGGCGACAGACTGAGACTCCATCTCAAAAAAAAAAAAAAAAAAGAAAAGAAAATCAGAAATAGAAGGAATTTTCTTTCTTTTCTTTTCTTTCTTTTTTTTTTTAAATTATACTTTAAGTTCTGGGATGCATGTGCAAAACATGCAGGTTTGTTACATAGGTATACACGTGCCATGGTGGTTTGCTACACCCATCAACACGTCATCTACATTAGGTATTTCTCCTAATGCTATCCCTCCCCTTGCCACCACCCCCGATAGGCCCTGGTGTGTGACATTTCCCTCGCTGTGCCCATATGTTCTCATTGTTCAACTTCCACTTATGAGCGAGAAAATGCGGTGTTTGGTTTTCTGTTCCTGTGTTAGTTTGCTGAGAATGATGGTTTCCACCTTTATCCATGTCCCTGCAAAGACATTAACTCATTCCTTTTTATGGCTGCATAGAATTCCATGTTGTATATGTGCCACATTTTCTTTACCCAGTCTATCATTGGTGGGCATTTGGGTTGGTTCCAAGTCTTTGCTATTGTGAATAGTGCTGCAAGAAACATACGTGTGCATGTGTCTTTTTACATGATTAGAATGATTTATAATCCTTTGGGTATATACTCAGTAATGGGATTGCTGGGTCAAATGATATTTCTAGTTCTAGATCCTTGAGTAATTGCCACAATATCTTCCATATTGGTTGAACTAATTTACACTCCCACCAACAGTGTAAAAGCACTCCTGTTTCTCCACATCCTCTCCAGCATTTGTTGTTTCCTTTTTGAAAACTGCCATTCTAACTGGCATGAGATGGTATCTCATTGTGGTTTTGATTTGCATTTCTCTAATGACCAGTGATGATGAGCTTTTTTTCATATGTTTATTGGCTGCATAAATGTCTTCTTTTGAAAAGCATCTGTTCATATCCTTCACCCGCTTTTTCATGGGGTTGTTTCTTTTTATCTTGTTAATTTGTTTAAGATCCTTGTAGATTCTGGATATTAGCCCTTTGTCAGATGAATAGATTGGAAAAATTTTCTCCCATTTTGTAGGTTGTCTGCTCTCCCTGATGACAGTTTCTTTTGCTGTGCAGAAACTCTTTAGTTTAATTAGATCCCATTTGTCAATTGTGGCTTTTGTTGCAATTGTTTTTGGTGTTTTAGTCATGAAGTCTTTGCCCATGCCTATGTCCTGAATGGTATTGCCTAGGTTTTCTTCTAGGGTTTTTCTCGTTTTAGGTCTTGTGTTTAAACCTTTAATCCATCTTGAGTTAATTTTTGTATAAGGTTTAAGGAAGGGGTTCAGTATCGGTTTTTTTGCATATAGCTAGCCAGTTTTCCCAACATCTTTATTAAATAGGGAATCCTTAACCCATTGCTTGTTTTTGTCAGGTTTGTCAAAGATCAGATGGTTGTAGATGTGTGGTGTTATTTCTGAGGCCTCTGTTCTGTTCCATTTGTCTATACATCTGTTTTGGTACCAGGACCATGCTGTCTTGGTTACTGTAGCCTTGTAGTATAGTTTGAAGTCAGGTAATGTGATGCCTCTAGCTTTGTTCTTTTTGCTTAGGATTGTCTTGGCTATACAGGATCTTTTTTGGTCCTTACACTGATAAGCAACTTCAGCAAAGTCTCAGGATACAAAATCAATGTGCAAAAATCATAAGCATTCCTCTACACCAATAACAGACACACAGAGAGCCAAATCATGAGTGAACTTCCATTCACAATTGCTACAAAGAGAATAAAATACCTAGGAATACAACTTAACAAGGGATTTGAAGGACTTCTTCAAGGAAAACTACAAACCACTGCTCAAGGAAATACGAGAGGACACAAACAAATGGAGAAACATTCCATGCTCATGGATAGGAAGAATCAATATCATGAAAATGGCCCTACTGCCCAAAGTAATTTATACATTCAATGCTGTTCCCATCAAGCTACCATTGACTTTCTTCACAGAATTAGAAGGAACTTTCTTAACCTGATAAAGTGCATCTACAAAAAAATTACGATTAATGATAATAGTTAATGGTGAAAGACCATAAACTATGCTTTTTAACATCAGGAATAAAAAAAGTTGTCTGCCTTCGCTACTCCTGTTCAACACGATACAGAAAGTCTCAGCCAGTGCAGTAAGACAAGTAGAAGATATGAAAGACATAAATAGTGTAAAGGAAAAACTGAAACATCTATTTGTAGATGATATGATTGCCTATGCAAAACATATCACATAGTTCAACAGAAGAAGTCCAAATAGTTATGCTAAACACTGGTTACCTTCCAATAAACAAATTTCCTATTGGTCCCAGAAGAAAAAAGGTAGAATAAAGATTTCACAACCGACTTTTAATTTTTTTAATTTTTTTATTTTTTTGAGACGAAGTCTCATTCTGTTGCTCAGGCTGAATTGCAGTGGTGCAATCTCGGCTCACTGCAACCTCCGACTCCCAGGTTCAAGTGATTCTCCTGCCTCAGCCTCCTGAGTAGCTAGGACTACAGGCATGGGCCACCATGCCCAGCTAATTTTTTGTATTTTTCGTAGAGACAGGGTTTCACCATGTTGGCCCGGTTGGTATTGAACTCCTGACCTCAAACAATTTGCCCACCTCAGCCTCCCAAACTGCTGGGATTACAGGTGTGAGTCACCACACCCGGCCACAAACTACTTTTTAAAGTCTAGCTTTATCATGGTAATGGAAAGTCACTCTCCATTTGGTGAGATCTTCAAACTCAGAAGAGCAACATGCTTTAATTTTGGCATGTAATTCTGTTTAAAATACAGGATCCTATCTCACAGAAAACAGAAGGTGTATCATGATACACCAAATTATGATGCTGTAACAACTTCAAAGTCTCAGGGACTTACACAGATATTAAACTGAATAAAACCAGGATTTGTTCTGTTCATTTGTCAATTCTTGAATGAATTCTATACTTTCAACTATTGCAGATTTTTTTATGTGTTTAATATCTGGTTGTTCGATTACCCCCTCATTACTTATCTTCTAAAATAAAAATAGCTATTGTTATTTACTCCTCAATATGAATTTAGAATTAGTCATCAAGTTTCTCACTTTACTGTCCCCCAAAGTTCAGTAGAGGTTTGGAGAGAAATTGCAGTAAAACTAGAAATTAAGTTTGGAAAAATAACATCTTTATGATATTCAATTTTCCTACTTTGGAACATGCTATATGTCTTCATTTATTATCTTTTGTTTCAGTCTAATCTTACATTTTTCTTAATATAGATTATGTATATTTCTCATAGAGTGTACCAAGTGATCTTGGATTAGTGATGTTACTGTTATTTCTCATATTTTCAGTGTATTGCCACCATATAAAGAAAATATTAATTTTGTACAATTATTTTTAAACTGGCTTTATAACTGATCTCTCTTTAATTCTGTTTCTCACATTAATTTTATATGTAAAAATATCATATTGGAAATAATTATCATAGTATATCATTTTCTCCCCAAATTATACTACTTACACATATTTCCTCTCTTACCACAAGAGTTAAAACCTAAATAATAATATGAAATAATAATTGATTATATCAAGCATTTATCCTATTCCCATTTTAATAAGATTAGCTCTTACCATATTGATTATGATGAAAATGATTAGGTTGAGATTAAGTTAAAGGAATATCCACCTCAGTTTTAGATAACTAAGAATTTTTATCAGGAAGTGTATTAATATTATTGAGTCACTTACTAAAATTATCACATGGCTTTTTAATTTGACCCTGCCAGACTGCCATAATATTTTAAATAATCACTAACTTTTTAAGATAAAGCTAAGTTAATTGCATTGCATTGTTCCATAATGTTGTGTCAAATTTGATTTGCTCATATATGGCTTAGTATATTCTCATTTATAATTGTCTACAGTTTCCAGGAGAATTATCTTCATTAGGATTTAGTGTCAAGGTTACACTGGTTTCATAAATCATTGCAGCCAGGCACAGTGGCTCACACCTGTAATCTGAGCACTTAGGGAGGCTGAGGCGGGTGGATCACCTGAGGTCAGGAGTTTGAGACCAGCCTAGCCGACATGGTGAAACCCTGTCTCTACTAATAGCTATAGAAGTGAGCACCCAATGATAGTACAATACACATTCTTTTCTTTCTTTTTTTTTTTTTTATACTTTAAGTTCTGGGATACATGTGCAGAATGTGCATGTTTTGTTACATAGATATACACATGCCATGGTGGTTTGCTGCACCCATCAACCCGTCATCTACATTACATATTTCTCCTAATGCTATCCCTCCCCTAGCCCCCCACCCCCCAAACAGGCCCTAGTGTGTAATGTTCCCCTCCTTGTGTCCATGTGTTCTCATTGTTCAACTCTCACTTATGAGTGAGAACATGCAGTGTTTGGTTTTCCGTTCCTGTGTTAGTCTGCTGAGAATGATGGTTTCCAGCTTCATCCATGTCCCTGCAAAGGACAAGAACTCATCCTTTTTTATGGCTGCATAGTATTCCATGGTGTATATGTGCCACATTTTCTTTATCTAGTCTATCATTGATGGACATTTGGGTTGGTTCCAAGTCTTTGCTGTTGTGAATAGTGCCGCAGTAAGCATACGTGTTCATGTGTCTTTATAGGAGAATGATTTATAATCCTTTGGGTATATACCCAGTAATGAGATTGCTGGGCCAAATGGTATTTCTAGTTCTAGATTTTTGAGGAATCACCACACTGTCTTCCACAATGGCGGAACTAATTTACACTCCCACCAACAGAGAATACACATTCTTTTCAAGCAAAAATGGAACATTCTCCAATATGGATCATATGCTAGGCCATTAAATAAGTATCAATACATTTAAAAGAATTGAATACTAGTCAGCAATAACAAGAAACTACTTAAACTGATACATGTGCCTCAAAAACATTACCACAGAGTACAAGTATAAAATAGATATCATATGATTCTTTATATATGAAATGTCCAGAGCAGATCCGTGGTTCTTTAGGGCTGAGGGTGGGAGCAAGGATCGACTGCAGATTTGTATAAAGAAACATTTTGGGGTGATGGAAACTATAAATTTAGAAAAAAAATGAGATTGTATATTCACATAGCTAAGTTTTATGGTATATAAATTATACCACAGTAAAGTTGTTTTAAGAATTCAGCGTATTGGTATGGATCTTATTTCATGATTCTTGCTTGGAACTTGTGTGAATTTTGTAATTTGTCCATTCAGATCTTTCTTCAGCTATTTGGTTTTATTCAAATAAATGTGTATAATTCTTCCTTTGTTCTTACCCTACCACTCATAAATCCTAGGTTAATTCTTCATTTACATATACTATCGTTTCTCTATTGTTTACATTTATTATTCTTTGACACTTTTTAAAGAGCTTATCAAGTTAGTTCTGTAATTTATAATTATTGATTAAATCTGGAGATGAGCACATTTACTCTTTACTATATGGATTATAATTTAGCATTGAATTATTATTAAAGTTGATGAGAACTTAAATGAAGAGGGTTGGTGTATCTGAGGAATAGTCTAGAGAGCAGGGACATACACAGGCACCAAAGTGGGAAAGAGAATAGACCATTTCCAGAACTGAAAGAAGGCCATGACAGGCTGGGGCATAAGAAGTTACCTACAGTGAGTGAGGAATGAAATCAGACTGGAGCTACAGGCAGGGCAGCTCATGCAGGAGTTGTAGGCCAGATTTCAGGTTGAGATTTCATTCTAAGTGCTTTTGAAGACTTTTAAAGCAAGAGAATAACATAATTAGATTTGTTCTTGCAGAGACTGGATAGGACCTGGGTAGACAGAAGAACAGAGGCCAGTTACGAGCTCCTGAAGTAATCTGCATAGGAGATGATGGTACCTTACACTAAAGTGGTGAAAATGAAACCAGAAGTGGAATGGTTGGAGAGAGAGAAATAAATGGATATATGATGGATTGGAAATGGGGTGCATGAATGAAAGACTGGTTCAGTACAACACCCAGGTTCCCAGCTTATTCAACCAGATGAGTGATAATTCTCTCCATTAAGCTGGGATAATTCTCTCCATTGAAGGTTGAATTGAATTGAGGAATTATGTTTAATGTTACAATAAGAAAATCTAACAGTATTTTTTATGCAGTATATATGCTACAGTATTTTGGGCTTTTCATGACTGTATCTCCTTGAGTCAGGATAGATAGCTAAATGTTAATTATGTGGGAAAAGAATCCTTTTTTAAGTAAAATGTAGTCGTTTTGACTCTGCTTAGGTTATAGGATAAAATGCCAGGCTCTGATTTCTCCTTTTCATTTACTTTATGTGTGTATGTGTGGGTGTGTGTGTATACTATATATGGTGCCACATGTGCCACATAATGGTATTTCAGTCAATAATGAACTACATAGAAGACATTGGTCTTGTAAGATTATAATAACATATTTTTACTGTACTTTTTCTATTATAATAACATATCTTTACTGTACTGTTTAGTTATGTTTGGACACACAAATACCACTTTGTTACAATTGCCTACAGTATTCCAGTACAGACACATGCTGTACAGGTTTGTAGCCTAGGAGCAACAGACTATATCATATAGCCTAGGTATATAATAGGCATATACCATCTAGGTTTATAGATACGCACTATGATGTTTGCAAAACAAAATTGCCTAATTACACATTTCTCAGCAATAAGCAATGAGTGATTATATATGTGTATAAACACATTTAAAAATCCAATAGATTTATTACATACTGAACAAATATGAAATAGGAAAGTCCTTTTCTCTATTACAATAATAAAGACTATAATGGCCCATTAATTTTTAACAGATTATTAAATAAATAAATACTATTCAAATTGTTACATTTGCCTTATATAAAGACATCAAACCTTATAATTTAACATATATTTGTAATCATTTTTTCACATATTTCTTTCTTCTTCCTTAAAAATATTAATAATGCTTTTTTACATACCAAAATTGAACTTGTTTTATACCGCTCTGCAAAATAAGCTGTTCGTAGATGTAGACAGGTACCATTTTCTTCTAAATGCACTAGCTCACCCTCATCTTCTGGGGAAAGCTAGAGGATTCTATTAACTAGGGGGTAGTATACTAATCACTAAAAATGAGCATCCATCTTAATTGTGCCTCTTATAAATAAAGCACTTTAATTCCTATGAATATTTTCTTCCCAGATGAGTTTTAGTATGATGAGTTGCTAAAAATTGTAGATAGATTTTTACATCTTTGGTATTTGTGATTTAATAAGACTTTAGTGGCTGATTTACAGAAGCTTTTTCTCATTGACTTGGGAGTTGTGGTTCTTTTAAAAATCAAAGTAGAAAAACATTGTTTTTTAGAACTCAGTGGTGAACCGTATTGAATATCTTATGTCTTAGTTCCTGTAGCGTCAACGCATTTTTATTCTAAATGCTTCCTCTCATACATTCATTCAACACGTATTTCTCCACCACCACCAAGCCTGATGTCTCACCAGGCACTCGGGAGACAATGTGAGAAAGCACAGTTTCCAATTCCATGGAACTACTCGTAATTGCATTTTTCATGTAGACTTATAATTATACATCAACTCAGTCAGTTTGGCCCACATTTTTTGTGTCCAAACACAAACCTTATACAATTAGGACATGTATTGAATCTCATTTAGCATGGTAGTTGAATTTGGTAGCATAAGACTTGTCCTGTTCTTTAAGAAACAGGCCAAATATTTATTTAAAATTACTAAATCTACCTTATAAACTTAAAAAGCAATCTAAAATATATCCCCATTTTCATCAGTGAACTCTAAAAGTACCAATCTTACTTTCTTCAATTATGGGTTAAAGAAAGCATTCCTCTTAAAAGAAATCATTTTTGAAGAGTGTCTAGAAGTTTTCCCATGTGCACTGAAAAATACTATTCATATTCTCCTTGATATGATAAATAAAATGTTTGGTTGAGTTAACATATGCTGTGTTTTTAACCTATACAGTTGTTTTTTGATATCCATGGGGGATTGGTTCCAGGATCCTCTTGGATACCAAAATGCATAGGTGCTCCAGATGCTCTAATCTACACACATCTTCCCATATACTTTAAATCATCTCTAGAGTTCTTATAATACCTAATACAATGTAAGTGCTATGAAAATAGTTGTTATGCTGTATTGTTTAGGAAATAATGACCTGAAAAAAGTCGGTACATGTTTAGTACAGACACAAACCATCCATTTTTTGGGGGGGAATATTTTCAATCTGAGGTTAATTGAATCCTTGGATACAGAATCCAAGGATACAGAGGAAGAACCGTACTTTAATGGTTACCTACCTGAGTTATTTATACAAAATGAAGACAAATTTTGGTTCACAATTTAAAATGTTCATATTCATACGTATTTTATATTTTTCACAATTCAGTGCATCTAAGTATACTTACATCATTTTAAGTTCATGGTGGAAGACAATAGACCAGTCTGAATGATTAAGTTATCAAGACTAATGTGATCCTGTTGCAGTGAAATATAATACATTAATTAGTCTGACATTATGTGAAAAAGCTCATGATACATATGTTACATGATACATATGTTAGCTACTCTTTAAAAAGCACAGCAAGCTATACCTGTCTAACTTGAAGTATCAAGCATAAACATCAGTTGAGCTCCTTGATGGAGTCAGGTTGTAGTGGAGAAAAAGTAAAATATAATAAAATTTTATAGCTTGCAAAATTAAAATCATTCAATTATTCACCCAAAAAATGCATAACGCAGTGCTGGGAAGAGGCCTGAGATGTATTAATTCAGTAGGAGAAAGAACATGGTCTTCATAGACCTACATATTTACCTTCCATTCTTTCTAAGCATAAATCCACGGATGGGTCCCTGATGATTTTAGTGTGGTATTCTGTCTCTCAAAGATGTTTCTTTGTGTTGGTGAAGGAAAGCCTGTTAATAATATTCAGCTTCAAAAAGTAAAAGTTTCAAGCATAAAATAATATCTGTGTAATAAAACAGATGATATTACTTTAATTGTTAGATAAATGATGTTTATAGAAAAAATATGAAAAATGTTTCTTCTAATATACTATGTAAGCAGAGTTTAAAAATATGTGAAGTGCCACATTTCTTCATATCAGACAGAGAGTTTTGTTTAAAATTCCCATATAAGAACTTGCTAAAATCCTCTGTCTTATAAAATGGATGCCTAACAAAACCGTCACACTTTCTGCTGTCATGTGGGATGGCACATCTATTCAAAGGTTCTACAAATTAGCTACCCAGCATCATCATCGCTGCTATCTCTTTCATCATCATCCATCATCATCATTATCATGGAGTACACCTAGCTGATCTCAACGAATCTGAATCACGGAATTGATCATTTGTCACAGCAATGAGGGTTCGAGGTAGGATGGAGGGCTGAGTCCATAGATAATAGCAAAAGGAAGAGCATGGCCATTAATGAAAGAGTGAAACTGAAGATGTGTTAGCATTTTCATGCAGCTCTCTTTATGCCTATCCTTTTCCAAATATTATTTTAGACAGAAATGTCTTGATTAAGAGAGGTGAAGAGAGGTCAATGAAAAGTACATGGATTGCTTTTTCAATCTAGTGAAATAAAAAAAAAGGGAGATTTATCTCTTACAGTTATTTTCATTGTCACATTAAACCAAAATGACAGCTGTAATTATTTATTTCAATAATCTGGAATAATGGGGCATTTGAGTGATCAAAAATATATATACTATACTGAGGGAAATAAAGACTCCCCTCATCTCAGATTAAGAGCAATCTCGGCCAGACGCGGTGGCTCATGTCTGTAATCCCAGCACTTTGGGAGGCCAAGGCAGGCGGGTCATGAGGTCAGGAGATCGAGACCATCCTGGCCAACGTGGTGAAACCCCGTCTCTACTAAAAATACAAAAAGAAGTTAGCCGGGCGTGGTGGCAGGCGCCTGTAGTCCCAGCTACTTGGGAGGCTGAGGCAGGAGAATGGCATGAACCTGGGAGGCGGAGCTTGCAGTGTGCCGAGACCGCACCACTGCACTCCAGCCTGGGTGACAGAGCCAGACTCCGTCTCAAAAAAAAAAAAGAACAACCTGAAGGATTTGCACCAAAATTGTCTCACTAAAAAAAATTTTTTTAGTAATAGAGATACAGCTAGTAAAATATATTGAAACAGTCAAGTGTATCTTTTTCTTCAAATAACATACTGTTAAATTAATTAACAAGAATTTGTGAGGTTACTGCAGAATATACACCAAACCACATTTTTAAACAGTTGTTGTAAAATGAAAGGAATAATGTCACATATATAAATTTGGAAGTCAGTATCAAAATATCAGGTGAGATGTCTAAAATTCAGAGGATTCAATTTTAAGGATTTTGATTTTTAGAAAAGTCAGTGACACAGAGGCTTTGATAAGTAAGAACTGAGGGTAGTTTTAGATAAAATGTAATCTCTCCATATACCATATCATTGTTAATGAGTTGAAGTTATAAAACAAAAATTGTCCAAAAGTTTACCCTGATGTTTCATTATTTATAGAAATTAAGGAAGAATTTCAAGTAGGCTTTCTTCTTTGAGATTAGGATGACAGAAGGATGCTCATTATGACCACCATGTCAATTTAATACTATATTAAAGCTGTTAACCAAGGCAATAAAGTAAGAAAAAAATCATATTAAAAATGTGCTAATAATTAAAAATGAATGCATTAAGATATTTTTTCAATTAAATGATTTGAGTAGATGTCAAAAAATGTTCTAGTAAAATTACTAGAATAAGTGAGTTGAGCAAAGACTCAGTATCAATAATCTCTTCATTTCTGTGTACCAAAAAAGAGAAAACAAAAGCTTATAAATATATAACATTTATAATAGCATTGAGTATATCAAATACTTAAAAATAAATTCTAATACAAGATGGACAACATACCTTTGCAGAAAACAAGAGAACAGTAAGAAAAATTAAAGACCCATGGAGGAAATACAATGTTCATAGCTTGGAAGACCAAGCCAAGATCAATTGATATCTTATGAAGGTATCAATTATCTACAAATTCATCTATACATATAATGTAAATTCACTGAAATTCTCAGCAGCCTTCCACCTTTTTTTGAATATGTTGACAGCTAATTTAAAATATCTTCATGACTTTGGGGTAGGGAAAGGTTTATTTAAAAGGGCAGAAGAACCATCATCCATAAAGGAAGGTTGTCTTATAAATCTTTACTACATTGACATTAAAATCTTCTATTTACCAAAGACATCATTAAGAAGGTGAAAAGGAGGCCAGGTGTGGTGGCTCACACCTGTAATCCCAGCACTTTGGGAGGCAGAGGTGGGTGGATCATGAGGTCAGGAGGTAGAGACCATCTGGCTAACACAGTGAAACCCAGTCTCTACTAAAAACACAAAAAATTAGCCGGGCCTAGTGGCGGGCGCCTGTAGTCCCAGCTACTGGGGAGGCTGAGGCAGGAGAATGGCGTGAACCCGGGAAGCAGAGCTTGCAGTGAGCCGAGATGGTGCCACTGCACTCTAGCCTGGGCAACAGAGCAAGACTGCATCTCCAAAAACAAAAACAAAAAAAGAAAGTGAAAAGGCAAGCCAAGAAATAGAAGACATTTGCAACAAAAAGTTTGTATCCCTCTATCTATCTACCCTTCCATCCATCTTATCAATATTTTTGCATGCAAATCAATAAAGACAAAAGAATCCATAGAAAAAATAGGCAGGAGGCTTAAAGACATTTTATGAAAGAGACTATCCAAATGCTCAATAAATATGTAAAAACAAAAATGTTCCACATCATCAGTAATTATTAGAATGGTGAAAAGCACATTTGCACTAGGAAGGATATGATGCAGTGAGAACTCTACAAATTTCTGGCGGAAATGTAAACTAGTAAAACAACTTTGGAAAATAGCTTGGCACAATCTAATGTTGAACATATGCCTACCCTGTGATCCAGAAATTCTACTTCTAGGTATATAAAAACAAATTGCTCACACATACCCCAAGGTTCATGTATATCAATGTTCCCAGCATTATTCATAATAACTAAGAACTAGAACAATCCAAATATTCATCAACAGTGGAGTAGGTAATAAATTGATGTTGTCATACATGGAATACTACACAGTAATAAAAAATATACAGCTTCATCTATATTCAACTGCATGCAAGAATCTCGCAAACTGAGCAAAAAAAAGCCAGAATAAGAAGAAAATATGCATTATTTCATGTATGTAAAGTTTTCAAAAAGAACAAATCTACAATGAAAACACAAAAATAACAATTGTTGGCAAGGATCTGGATAAGTTAGAACACTTGTGCACTGCTAATGATAATGTAAAATAGTACAGCTGCTATGGAAAACAATATGGCAGTTCTTCAAAAAATTAAGCATATAATCCAGCAATTTTGTTTCTAGGTATATAACCCAAACGACTGAGAGCAAGGACTGAAACAGCTATTTGTTCATCCATGTTCATGGCAATATTCTTCATAATAGACCAAAGGTAGAAGCAACCAAAGTTGTACAAGTTGTACATTGATAGATAACTAGATAAACAAATATGGTACATACATACAATGCAATATTGTTTGGCCTTTAAAAGGAAGGAAACCCTGGCAGGTGCTACAACATGGATGTACCTTGAAGATATCATGCTGAAAGAAATATGCCCAGTCACAGAAGGATTAATATTGTATGATTCCACTTACATGGGGTACCTAGAGTGGTCAAATTCAGTGACGGAAAATAGCATGGTGGTTGCTAGGGGCTGGGAGAAGAGAGGAATGGGAGTTATTGATAATGGGTACAGTTTCAGTTTGAAAAGATGAAAAATTCTGAAGATGGATGGTGGTAGTGATTATACAACAATGTGAATATACTTAATGCTGCTGAACTATACAGTTTAAAATGGTTAAATGGTACATTTTATGTATACGTTACCATAAAAAAAAAAGTCTGGACTATAATGTTAGAAGTAAAGATAGTAGTAATCTTATAGGAGAAAGAAGAGGATGGTGTTCAGAAAGAGCGTGGTGAGGGTGGGGAACTTCAAGGGTGCTGGCAATATTCTATTCCTGGGCATAGGTTATCAGTGGTGTTTAAATGAACGTTTGCCTTATGATACTTTATAAAGCTTCACATTTAAGTTTTGTGTCACTACTGCTTGATATACTTCACAATAAAATCTTTAAAAATAACATATATGTTATGTTCCTAGGAACATACATGTTCCTAGAAAGAAAAATATCCATGTCACATGTCATTACAACTTGTATTTTGCAAGCAGTCTGTATTGAAAAGGATGTGGGCTTGTGGCTTTGGAGTCAACTGTCAGCCTTAGACTTGAATCTCAACTTGGCTATGTGTAAAGTGTGTGACACTGAAAATTCTTTCTTTGAAACTATTTTCTCATCTTTATAATTGAGAATATGACAAATGTTTTATAGAATAATTTTCAGGATTAAAAGTTTATGGATAAATATACAGCATATTATCAGATGAATAACAAAAGCTCTAAACATATTAGGTTCTATTTTCTTCCCTTTAGAAAATAAATTTCTTCAGATTTTTTTAATCTGCTATTGTAGCAGGACAAGCTGCAGACAAAACCCCTCAGACACCAAGTTAAAGAAGGAAGGGCTTTATTCAGCCGGGAGCTTCGACAAGACTCATGTCTCCAAAAACCGAGCTCTCCGAGTGAGCAATTCCTGTCCCTCTTAAGGGCTTACACCTCTAAGGGGGTCCACATGAGAGGGTTGTGATCATTGAGCAAGCAGGGGGTACGTGACTGGGGGCTGCATGCACCGGTAATTAGAACAGAACAGAACAGGGCAGGGATTTTCACAATGCTTTTCCATACAATGTCTGTAATCTATAGATAACATAACTGATTAGTCAGGGGTCGATCTTTAAATACCAGGCCCAGGGTGTGGCACCGGGCTGTCTGCCTGTGGATTTCATTTCTGCCTTTTAGTTTTTACTTCTTCTTTCTTTGGAGGCAGAAATTGGGATAAGACAATATGAGGGGTGGTCTCCTCCCTTACTATCATTCAATAGTCAAGAATATTCCTGAGTGGAAACCAGCTACAAAGTACTGCCCCAAATTAAGTCATTTGAGGGAAGTTATAGTTTATTTTCTTATGTTAATTGATCAAATTAGATAACAAGCAGAATGGATTTATAACTTTGTTGTGGGGTATAAAATTATATTAAGTACTATATATTAAAAGCACAGAATTTTAAGATAATGATTTTCCAGATCGACTGCAAGAACAAACCAGCAATCCCGAGAGGATTCACAGACCCTCCAAAGGAAGCAGACTGCTCCTGCAGGACCCAGGAGACATCCCCAAAACTGTGAGTGCCCCAACTGCAGAAGTAGGAAAAGAAGACCCTCCCCTCCCAAACACACACCGCCACTGGAGAAACTGAAGGTCTGCTTGTGGGAGAAGTTTGCGACTTTACCTGGAGCTGAGTCTATTTGGAGAGCCGAGCGAAATACAGGGGTAGACGAAGCAGCAGAAAGGCCCTGGGAGCTTGTTGGGTCCCCTAGCGGGCCATTCCTGCCTGGCACCACAGGGATCCAACGGGAGAGAAGCAGGGATTAAAATTATACAGGGAGAAGCAAATCTCTAGCTGAACTTCGTAACAGTTTGAACAGGGCAAGAAGTCTCCTGGCCAGAACTTGGGGGAGGGCACAAATCCAGCGTGCGTACTCCACAGGTGGGGGACGAACCAAGCCCTTTTTTTTCCACAACTTGGAGGCAGATAGCCTGGGGCAGGTTTTCAAGCCTGTATGACTCTGCCTGGAAAAGGTCTGGGGGCTGTTGTCGGGTCATGATGGGAGTGAGACTGGCCCTTCAGTTTATTTGGGAGCTGGGTGAGGCCTGTGATTGCCAGCTTTTCCCCACTTCCCTGACAACCTGCATGACTTGGCAGAGGCAGCCATAATCTTCCTAGGTATACAACTCCAGTGACCTGGGAATCTCACTTTCATTCCCACAGCAGCCTCGGTAAGACCCACCTAAGAAGAGTCTCAGCTCAGACACACTTGGCCCTGCCCCCACATGATGGTCCTTCCCTACCCACCCTAGTAGCAGAAAAGGGCATATAATCGGGAGTTCTAGGGCTCCGCCCACTGCTGGTTCCTCCCCGTAATACCACAGCTGATGCTCTCTGGAAAGTGCCACCTCCTGGCAGGATGCCGACCAGTACAAAAATAGAACATTAAATCACCAAAGCTAAAAACCCTCACGGAGTTCATTGCACCCCCTGCCACTTCCACCGGAACAGGCACTGGTATCCACAGCTGAGAGACCCATAGACAGTTCACATCACAGGACTCTGTGCAGTCAACCCCCAGTACAGCTTGGTGCTGGGAAGACTCGCTGGGTGGCTAGACTCAGAAGAGAGACAACAATCACTGCAGTTTGGCTCACAGGAAGCCACATCCATAGGAAAAGGGAGAGAGTACTACATCAAGGGAATACCCTGTGGGACCAAAGAAACTGAACAACATCCTTCAGCCCTAGACCTTCCCTCTAAAAGAGCCTATCCAAATGAGAAAACCAACTCTGGTAATATGACAAAACAAGGCTGTTCAACAACTCCCAAAAATCACACTAGTTCACCAGCAATGGATCCAAACCAAGAAGAAATCCTTGATTTACCTGAAAAAGAATTCAGGAGATTAGTTATTAAGCTAATCAGGGAGGGACCAAAGAAAGGCAAAGCCCAGTGCAAGGAAATCCAAAATATGATACAAGAAATGAAGTGAGAAATATTCAAGAAAATTGATAGCTTAAAGACAAAACAATCAAAAATTCAGGAAAGGTTGGACATATGTTTAGAAATGCAAAATGCTCTGGAAAGTCTCAGCAATAGAATTAAAGAAGTAGAAGAAAGAAATTCAGAGCTCGAAGACAAGGTCTTGAAATTAACCCAATCCAACAAAGACAAAGAAAAAAGAATAAGAAAATATGAACAAAGCCTCCAATAAATCTGGGATTATGTTAAATGACCAAACCTAAGAATAATCAGTGTTCCTGAGGAAGAAGAGAATTCTAAAAGTTTGGAAAACGTATTTCGGGAAATAATTAAGGAAAACTTCCCTGACCTTGTGAGAAACCTAGACATCCAAATACAAGAAGCACAAAGAACACCCTGGAAATTCATCACCAATAGATCTTCACCTAGGTACACTGTCATCAGGTTATCCAAAGTTAAGAGGAAGGAAAGAATCTTAAGAGCTATGATACGGAAGCACTAGGTAACCTTTAAAGGAAAAACCTATCCGATTAATAGCAGATTTCTCAGCAGAAACCCTGCAAGCTAGAAGGGACTGGGGCCCTATCTTCAGCCTCCTCAAACAAAACAATTCTCAGCCAAGAATTTTGTATCCAGCAAAACTAAGCATCATACAGGAAGGAAAGGAGACTCACCTAGCACATAGGACTCACAGAAACTTAAAGAAAATGGGTGAAAAAAGGCATTTCATGCAAATGGACACCAAAAGTGACCAGGGGTAGCTATTCCTATATCAAACAAAACAAACTTTAAAGCAGCAGGAGTTAAAGCACTTTTTCAGAGAACAAATGCTGACAGAATTTGCCATTACCAAGCCACCACTAGAAGAACTGCTAAAAGGAGCTCTAAATCTTGAAACAAATCCTGGAAACACATCAAAACAGAACCTTTTTAAAGCTTAAATCACACAGGACCTATAAAACAAAAATACAAGTTAAAAAGCAAAAATAAAATCCGAAGTACACAGGCAACATAGAGCATGAGGAATGCAATGGTACCTCACATTTCAACACTAACATTGAATGTAAATGACCTAAATGCTCCATTTAAAAGACACAGAACTGCAGAATGGATAAGAACTCACCAACCAACTATCTGCTGTCTTTAGGAGACTCACCTAGCACATAAGGACTCACATAAACTTAAATGGGTGGAAAAAGGCATTTCATGCAAATGGACACCAAAAGCAAGCAGGGGTGGCTATTCTTATATCAAACAAAACAAACTTTAAAGCAGCAGCAGTTAAAAGAGACAAAAAGGGACATTATGTAATGGTAAAAGGCCTTGTCCAACAGGAAAATATCACAATCCTAAATATATATGCACCTAACACCATAGCTCCCAAATTTATAAAACAATTACTAATGGACCTAAGAAATGAGATAGACAGCAACACAAAAACAGTGAGGGACTTCAGTACTGCACTGACAGCACTGGACAGGTCATCAAGACGGAAAGTCAACAAAGAAACAATACCTTGGAACAAATGGACTTAACAGATATATACAGAATATTTCATCCAGCAACCACATAATACACATTCTATTCAACAGTACATGGAACTTTCTCCAAGATAGACCATATGATAAGCCATAAAACGAGCCTCAATAAATTTAAGAAAATTGAAATCATATCAAGTACTCTCTTAGACCACAGTGGAATAAAACTGGAAATCAACTCCAAAAGGAAACTTCAAAACCATGCAAATACACGGAAATTAAATAACCTGCTCCTGAATGAGCACTGGGTCAAAAACAAAATCAAGATGGAAATTTTAAAATTCTTCGAACTGAATGACAATAATGACATAACCTATCAAAACCTCTAGGCTATAGCAAAGGCAGTGCTAAGAGGAAAGTTCGTAGCCCTAAACGCCTACATCAAAAAGACTGAAAGAGTAAAAACTGACACTCCAAGGTCACACCTCAAGGAACTAGAGAAACAAGAACAAACCAAACCCAAACCCAGCAGAAAAAGGAAATAACCAAGATCAGAGCAGAACTAAATGAAACTGGAACAAAGAAATACAAAAGATAATGAAACAAAAAGCTGGTTCTTTGAAAAGATAAATAAAATAGATAGACCACTGGCAAGATTAACCAAGAAAAGAAGAGAGAAAATCCAAATAACCTCACTAAGAAACGAAACAGGAGATATTACAACTGACACCACTGAAATACAAAAGATCATTCAAGGCTACTATGAACACCTTTATGCACATAAACTAGGAAACCTAGAAGAGATGGATAAATTCCTGGAAAAAATACAACCCTCCTAGCTTAAATCAGGAAGAATGAGATACTCTGAACAGACCGATAACGAGCAGCGAGATTGAAATAGTAATTTAAAAATTATCAACAAAAAAAAGTCTAGGACCAGACAGATTCACAGCAGAATTCTATCAGATATTCAAAGAAGAATTGGTACCAATCCTTTTGACACTATTCCACAAGATAGGGGAAGAAGGAACCCTCCCTGATTCATTCTATGAAGCCAGCATCACCCTAATACTGAAACCAGGAAAGGACATAACCAAAAAAGAAAACTACAGACTGATATCCTTGATGAACATGGATGCTAAAATCTTTAACAAAATATTAGCTAACCGAATCCAACAACATATCAAAAAGATAATCCACCATGATCAAGTGGGTTTCATACCAGGGATGCAGGGATGGTTTAACATACACAAGTCGATAAATGTGACACAACATAAACAGAATTAAAAACAGTAATCATATGATCATCTTAATAGATGCAGAAACAGCATTTGACAAAATCCAGCATCTTTTACGATTAAAACTCTCAGCAAAATCAGCATACAAGGGACATACCTTAATGTAATAAAAGCCATCTATGACAAACCCACAGCCAACATAATACTGAATGGGGAAAAGTAGAAAGCATTCCCTCTGAGAACTGGAACAAGACAAGGATGTCCACTCTTTTTTTTTTTTTTTTGGAGATGGAGTCTCGCTCTTGTTGCCCACGCTGGAGTGCAATGGCATGATCCTGGCTCACTGCAACCTCTGCCTCCCAGATTCAAGTGATTCTCCTGCCTCAGCCTCCTGAAGGATGCCCACTCTTACCACTCCTCTTCAATGTAGTACTGGAAGTCCTAGCCAGAGCAATCCAGACAAGAGAAAGAAATAAAGGGCATCCAAATTGGTTAAGAGGAGGTCAAACAGTCACATCAGTTTGCTGATGATAGGATTATTTACCTTGAAAACCCTAAGGACTCCTCCAGAAAGCTCCTAGAGCTGATAAAAGAGTTCAGCAAAGTTTCTGGATACAAGATTAATGTACACAAATTAGTAGCTCTTCTATACACCAGCAGTGACCAAGTGGAGAATCAGATCAACAACTCAACCACTTTTACAATAGCTGAAAAAACAACAACAACAACAACAAAAAACACCACTTAGGAATACACCTAACCAGGGAGTTGAAAGACCTCTACAAGGAAAACTACGAAACACTGCTGAAAGAAATAATAGATGACATGAACAAATGGAAACACATCCCATGCTCATAGATGGGTAGAATCAATTTTGTGAAAGTGACTATACTGCCAAAAGAAATCTCCAAATTCAATGCAATCCACATCAAAATACCACCATCATTCTTCACAGAATTAGAAAAAACAATTCTAAAATTCATATGGAACCCTAAAAGAGCCTGCATAGCCAAAGCAAAACTAACCAAAAAGAACTAATCTGGAGGCATCACACTACCTGATTTCAAACTATACTAGAAGGCCATAGTCATCAAAACAGCATGGTACTGGTACAAAAATAGGCACATAGCCCAATGGAACAGAATAAATAACCCAGAAATAAAGCCAACTGATTTTCGACAAAGCAAACAAAAATATGAAGTGGGGAAAGGACACCCTTTTCAATAAATGGTGCTGGGATAATTGGCTAGCCACATGTAGGAGAATGAAACTGGATTCTCATCTCTCACCTTATACAAAAATCAACTCAAGATGGATTAAGCACATAAACCTAAGATCTGAGACTATAAAAATTCTAGAAGATAACATTGGAAAAAACCCTTCTGGACACTGGCTTAGGCAAGGATTTCATGATCAAGAACCCAAAAGCAAATGCAATAAAAACAAAGATAAATAGCTGGGACTTAATTAAACTAAAGAGCTTTTGCATGGCAAAAGAAACAGCAAACAGACAACCCACAGAGTGGGAGGAAATCTTCACAATCTATACATCTGACAAAGGACTCATATCCAGAATTTACAAAGAACTCAAACAAATCAGCAAGAACAAAACA